>NC_000002.12:32714379-32867130 GCF_000001405.40 Homo sapiens
GATCTCCTGACCTTGTGATCTGCTTACCTCGGCCTCCCAAAGTGCTGGGATTACAGGCGTGAGCCACTGCACCTGGCCAGGCCTACCCCATTTTCTTTATTTAGTCTACTGTTGATGGGAATTTAGGTTGAGTCCATGCCTTTGCTATTGTGAATAGTGCTGTAATGAACATACACACACATGTGTCTTTATGGTAGACTGATTTATAATCCTTTGGGTATATAAACAGTAATGAGATTGCTGAGTCTGATGGTAGTTCTGTTTTAAGTTCTTTGAGAAATTGCCAAGCTGCTTTCCACAATGGCTGAACTAATTTACATTCCCATCAACGGTATGTAAGTGTTCCCTTTTTTCCACAACCTCTTTAGCATGTTATTTTGTGACTTTTTAATACCCATTCTGACTATTGTGAGATGGTATCTCATTGTAGTTTTGATTTATATTTCTCCAGTGATTAGTGATGTTAAGCATTTTTTTCATATGCTTGTTGGCTGTGCATATGTCTTCTTTTGAAAAGTGACTGTTCATGTCCTTTGCCCACTTTTTAATGGGGTTGTTTTTTGTTTTTTGTTTAAGTTCCTTATAGATTATGGATATCAGACCTTTGTTGGATGCATTTGCAAATATTTTCTCTCATTTTGTAGGTTGTCTCTTTACTCTGTTGATTGTTTTGTTGTGCAAAAGCTCTTTTGTTTAATTTGGTTCCATTTGTCAATTTTTGTTTTTGTTGAAATTGCTTTTGGCATCTTCATCATGGAATCTTTGCCAGTCCCTACATTCAGAATAGTACTTTCTAGGTTATCTTCCAGGGATTTTATAGTTTTTGGTTTTACATTTAAGTCTTTAATCCATCTTGAGTTGATTTTTGCATATGGGGTAAGAAAGGGGTCCAGTTTCAGTCTTCTGCATGTGGTTAGCCAGTTATCCCAGCACCATTTGTTGAATAAGGAGTCCTTTCCCCATTGTTTGTTTTTGTCAACTTTCTCAAAGATCACATGTTGTAGGTGTGTGGCTCTGTTCCTGGGCTCTCTATTCTGTTCCATTGGTCTGTGTGTCTGTTTTTTGTACCAGTACCATGCTATTTTTGTTTCTGTGGCCTTGTGGTACAGTTTGAAGTATGATAATGTGATTCCTCCAGCATTAGAACATCTGTTCTCGATACTGTGTAGTTGCATGCATGCTTTGAAGGAGTGGGGATTTTTATCATAGTTAATTATGGAGGGAGGAAGACCCAAAATACCATGTTTGTTACCGTTGTGGAGATTATTGCTCCTGTGTGGGCCGAAACATTTCTCTTTAAAGTTGGTAGTCCTTTCTTTATATGGCACTCATGACCTATCTCATTAATTCTAGTAATGATTAAGGGCATGTCATAATGAAACCCTTGATTGGAGGAATATTAGTCACAGTAATGTACTGTCAGGATTTGTTACACTGAGGCTCGTACTTGTGTTTGAATAATTTGAGAAAGAGGTCCTTTATGTTTGTTTTTTTTTTTTAATACTGATGGAATTACCACACTCTGCAGGAATTAGATGTAACACCTGGACCAGGTCCACGGTCAGTAGTAGTGAAGTGTGTCACTGTTCTTAATTGTTTTAATTATATGAATGATACTGCTCATTATAAAAATATAAGCAATATAGAAGTGGAAAGTAAAAAACAACAGCTTTCTTTTCCTCTTGCTTGCCTTTCAGTCTCAACAGTTTTTACCTTCTAAACCTCTTTCTATGCGTAAGCATAAATATACTTTGACATAAGTGGGATCATCCAGTCTTCATTGCTTTAAACCTTTTTCCCTCTAAACATAACAGCTTGATCAGCTCTGCATGCCAGTACTTGTGAATCTAGCTCATTCATTCCAGCAGCCATATGTCACTCTTTTAAATAGAAGTGCTACAACTTATTTAACCAATCCTTTATTTTTTAAAGTGTCCTTTAATTAATATTTTATTTTTAAACTGCATATTACAAATTTTAGTACTGCATATAATAAAAAAATTAGTTCACTCAGGAGGATTTTAAATGAAAGATATAAATTCTTCCCCAATTCTGAGTTCATTTTTAGCTATTTCTTTTTTAGTTGTTATTCTAGTGGTTTCCATTATAACTTTAAATATTACATTTCTTTAATACTTCTGTCTCTTGATTTGTCAACTTTTTAGATAGAATCTGTTGATTCCACACTATGACTAAGGAAGAAATCAGCACACTTTTCATCTCCTCTTCCATTTTTATGTTATTTTTCAATTGTTGGGGATTGTTACTCTATATTCTATTGGGTAATTTTTATCATGTATGTTTGTTCTATATGTTTTTTTTTTCTTTCAGAGACAGGGTCTTGCTCTGTTTTCCAGGCTGGAGTGCAGTGGTACAAACATGGCTCACTGTGCAGCCTTGACCTCTTGGACTCAAGTGATCCTCCCACCTCAGCCTCCTCAGTAGCTAGGACCATAGATACCCATCACCATGCCAGGCTAATTTTTAAGTTTTTTGTAGAGGCAGAGTCTTGCCATGTTGCCCAAGCTGGCCTCAGACTTCTAGGCTCAAGCAGTCCTCCAGCCTTAACCTCCCAAAGTTTTGGGATTACAAGTGTGAGCCACTACACCTGGCTCAGATTTTTTTTTAATTTTTTTTTTTTTTTGAGACAGTCTTACTCTGTCACCCAGGCTGGAGTGCAGTGGCATGATCACAGCTCACTACAATCTTGAACTCTTGGGCTCAAGTGATCCTCCTGTTTCAGCCCCCCACGCCCAACTAATTTGTAATATTTTTTTTGAGACAGGGTCCTACTACATTGCCCAGTCTGATCTCAAACTTCTGACCTCAAGTGATACTCCCACCTCAGCCTCCCAAAGTGCTGGGATTACAGGCATGAGCCACTGTGTCTGGCCTATATGTTGATTTTTTTAAAACTTCAACCCAATCTTACAGCATTGTAATGATGATGCTGTGAGTGTACTGATTATTGATTATACACCAAATGGTGTGATTGGACCCATGGAGAAGGAAATGCAGTGCTCCGTGTCTAAGTGTTTGCCACTTGAAGGAAGCTGTCACAAGAATCAAGGTCCAGGGGATTCTCCACTGATTTCTTTTTTGCTCTTTGCTGTAGGTCATGGTCAGCTACCACTGCTTCTTTCCTGTTAGTTATTATCTTTCTTGTTTCCTTTTTTTTTGTATTGCCTCATTGTGTAACTTTTTCACATGAAGAACAAATGTAGTTAAATTTGTGTCTTTGTGAAAAGTATTTTTCCATCATAATTCAGTAGTTTGGGTGTATAGAATTCTAGTTGCAAAATCATTTTTCTTCAGGACTTTAAATGAAGTCATTACCTCAATATCGTCTGTCATCCAAGTTTGCTAATAAGTATGGCAGTCTGATTTTTGTCTTGTTTTAAGTTCTTTCTGTTCTTCTTGTTTTGAAATTTTTTAGAATTTTCTCTTTATTTTTGGAATTCTGGATGTATCTAAATTTGACCATGGGCTCTGGAGTCATGCAGCCTGGTTTCCGATCCCAGCGCTACCATATATTATACCTGCTTATACCTTGGACAAGCTACTGAACCTCTCTATGCCTCAGTTGCCTCACATAAATAATGGAATAAGTAGAGTTTTTATGAGCATTGTATGAATTAATATTTAGATCAGCATCTCAGGCTGGAAGGGCTTAATAAATGTTAGTTGCCATAATTATTATTTCTCTTGCTGGATTATATATTGGGTTATTTAAATATAAGCAATTATGACTCTATAGATGAAACAATTTAATTATACTTTAATTAATTATACTTTTTTCTTCATTCTTTAAAAGACTTCTTTATCCAATTCAGTTCTGAATTTGGAATTTTAGTAGAACTATGTGGAGACCTCCCAGATCTATCTTCTGTGCCTCTTCTAAGCTGTTTGTCTTTTTGATTGATGTTATAGGAGATTTCTTCCATCTTTTCTCCTGTATTACTAATTTTGACCATTTTGACCAATTAATAATATTTAGTCCATTCATAAAATTTTTTATTTTGACAATTATTTTTAATTTCCAGTAAATCTGTATTTTTCTGATTGTCCTTTTTCTTAATAGTCTTTTGTGTTTTATAGATACAGTATCTCATTTAAATTTATTTGTGCATTATTAATTAGAATTTTAAAAATTATTCCTGTGAATTATCTGTCCTCAGGTATGACCTGTCTTATATGTTCCTCTTGGCCTTTCTTTTTCATGGGTACTGCTTTTTCTTAAATGGCTGATGATTGCCAAAGCTGATTGTGTTGATAGTTAGCACAAGTCCCCTCTGTAGCAGTGTGGGTCTCATTGTCTTAGAGGCTTTTCCACTGAAGGCAGGGCTGACTGCAGACTCTGCACTGTGACCAGAGTGTGGCTAACTAGCAGGCTTCTGTAGGGTTGGCATGGGTCTTCCCTCTAAATCTTCCCCTAAGGCTCTGAACTGGGAATCTGAGGCAACTGGGCACTCTTGCTGTTATAACAAAGATGCTTCTCTTTTAAAATAAGCCTCACACCTCCTGTTGCTTCATTCTTTCATTCCTTTCCTTCTGAACAGACATGTGAGGTCTGAGATAGTATCTCCTAAGTGGTGCAAGAAGGCAGTGTGCTTGACCAAGCCTAGGGGGCAGAGGAGGCATCCAGAGGAGCTGGTAGCAGGATCAAGATCCCAAGTGAAGAACCACAAACAGAGGATAGAGACCCAGTGAGGAGAACCTCCTCTCAGTATGGTGTCTGAAGCATTGGCCAGTGGTTCTGAGCTATGGAAGTCATAGTCTGGAATACAGGGTCACCCTCACCAGAGTGACATCCAACAGATGAAGCTGTGCATAGAGCAGTGAACTAAACAATGTATGAGGTATCCTTAGATGGTGCACTCAGGGAGGCTGTAAAAGATACAAAAGGCTTTGCAGTGATTAGGAGAGGCACCTAGTCATCAAGAAAAAAGGTCAAAATGTTTAAAGGATGGAATAGCAGGGTCAGAAAGAGATGCAACAACCCAGATAACAGGTATTGAGGTTGACTATATGGGAAACTTATATTAGCTCTGCATCAAATATATTAACACAGGGCCTCCTTTTATGGCGTTAGACCAGAGCAAGATCTCAGGTCAAAGCAGCTCATCAGAATTGCCTTCTGCATGTGGTCATAAAGAAGAACATTGGGCAGGAATGCAGTAGTTTGGGGCAGAGAGCTAGCTTATGAAGATCATCTTAACTTGAGAATAATTAAGGAAGTGTGTGGTTCTCAAAGGGGTGAGATTATGATTGCAAGAAAGAAGCTAACAGACACAGCTGCAGGAGGTAATATTTAGTTACTCTAAGCTGGAGACAATACAGCATGATCTCAGATGCAGATCTGGGTTTCCCAGTACCCCAGAGTTTCCCATGAAGACATCCAGGGACAGAGGATGCCTTCCTGTGGAGGCACAGTACCGGAAGCTCCCCTTGGTATTCTCACAGGGGGAAAGGATGGTTTATGCCCACCTGCCACCTCCCATCCCCCAGCCAAATATTGATCATGAGGGTAAGTCTCCCTCAGCAGCCCAGGCTTCTGACCTGTCTTAGCTCCATTCTAAATTTTATGAGAGAAGGCTTTCAGAAGTCTAGTTTTATCCTATAGCTAATAATAGTAACATAATACGTGAATTATGTTACTTCAGGATCTTCACTTCTTAGGTAGACTGCTTCAACACTGCTTACTTTCTCTCCTTACTGCTGACTGGCCTCTCCCCATTCTTATTGGCACCTTCATTGAAAAATCAGCTGACTGTATGTGTATGGTTTATTTTTGGACTCTGTGTTATCATAGCTATGTTTTAGCATTTATTAATTCTATTATGCTCTATTTGGAAAACTTTCCTTCATAACAGCTAGAATGTGAGCTTCTTGAGGGGTCAGTTTCTATATTTTACTTATTTTTACATTCTCAAAATGAACACTCAATGGATGTTTGCTAAATGATGAATTAGAAAAATAGAATTTTGAATTACTTACTTATTAGCAGGACTAATTGAGAGTTAGCTAAGTTAAAGACTGTGTTTTCATCTGGCACTTCAATAATCTGAGAGCTGTAGAGGCCAGCCTTTCTGATATCATTCCAGTCCAAATTTTTAGTGTAGTAACAAGCCCCAATGCCAAAGCTAACAGGAACAGAATAGTCACTGTGATTACACTGAGGTCAACATAGGGTAGTAATTCAGTTTGGTTGGTTGTATTTTTTTAAGGGAAGGGAAAAGAGATGAAGCCATGACAGTTTTTCTTATTGGGTTTCCTAAAAAATAGTGAATTAATGCATAATTCAGTACCCTATGTGCTCCTAAGAAGTAATAAGAGCCTGAAGTTCAAATTAACTCCTTAATTTACCGGAAATATGTTCACTCTGTATTTTTTAGCATACCAGAAGACAAAGCTTTCCTTTATATTATGAACCGGTCATTTATTCTCTATTAAAGACTACTCTCTCATGTGTTAGCGTCTCAGAATATTCGTGTGCTCTATTGTATTTTCGCATATCTTCTTCACAGAAGTAAGTTCACATGCATTATACTTGGCAGACTTGGTATTGCCCTTGATGTGTAACTATTTGTGTGAGTAGAGAATCTCCAGCTGCCATTATGGAGTCATTAAAGAAGGACTGGGAAGTGGAGTGTAGCACATGATCTAGTCATTTAAGCTGACCATGGCTGTATTTGGTTTGCCTAATGAGTGGGTATGGCTTCAAAATTTGAAAAATTACATTTGATTTTATGCTTATTTTCATGCTTATTTTAAATCCCCCTAAATGTAAGGTTCTTGTAATGGACAAATAGAATTTAGAGCTTTTCATGACTCTTGACCTTCTGTCTCAGTAAAATTTAAGAATTTTTAAGAACAGGTCGCAATGAGGAGTCATTTAGTTGTAAGGGACAGAAACCCAATTCAAACTGGCCATAGAAAAGGAAATAAATTGGCTATTATAACTGAGAGTTCTAGGGATATCCCAGTCTCGGAGATAGCTGGATTCAGGGGTTCAAAGAGATCATCAGGCCTTTCTTTTTCTTGCTTTTCCCATCCTCATTCTCATATCTTTGCTTTTCTCCACCTTCTACAGTATCAGGAAGGTTGTTGTCACAGTAGCACCAGATTTCGTTATCCATAGACTTCACAATCCAAGAGGAAGATAAATCACAAGCTGCTATGGCCAAGATTGTTAAGCTTCCTCACCTTATCTGGGCTTCACTTTTCTTTCTCTCTCTCTCTTTTTTTTTTTTTTTTTCTTTTAGAGGCAGAGTCTTGCTGTGTCACCCAGGCTGGAGTACAGTGGAATGATTATAACTCACTGGAGTACAGTGGAATGATTAAGCTCTGAGGCTCAAGCCATCCTCCTGCCTTTGCCTCCCAAGTAGTTGGGACTATAGGCACACACAACCATGCCTGGCTAATTTTTTCATTTTTTTAGAGGTGAGATGTTGCTATATTGCCCAGGTTGGTTTTGAACTCCTGGCCCCAACTTCCCAAAGCACTGGGATTCTAGGTATAAGTCACCGTGCCTAGCAGTGCTTCACTTTCCTTATTGGTAGGGTGGGGATGGCTGTCAAGCCTACCTCATACCAATGGTGATACTTGTGAAATGCCTGGAATAGTGCTTGGTACATAGTCAATCTTCAATAAACGTTGACTCTTATTATCATCTTCACTTTATAGGAGGGGAAGTTTAGGTACAAGAATAAGAAAACTGCCGTTCCTTCATAACTGATTAAAAGCAGTCATTACTACCTGGGAAACCTGAACAACATTGAGATAATTACAGTGCCTCATGTATAGTACAGCACATGTATAGTGTGCTGGGTCATGCCATCAAGATTTTCACATATCTGAGATATGAACATGTGTCTTTCATTCTAGCTCTGTATTTCATCTGCATTAATAACTGTGTGCATTTGAAAGTTATTGAAAAGTAGTGTTAGGAGTTGCTCATGTGATTGTAGCTGTGGTTTTATTTGTTGGAATAATTATAGTTGCTACTGTTTATACAGAGCTGTGTGTAGTTACTGCCATTTAATTAACTGTGTATTGTTACTTTACTGAACACTCATATGCCAGGTGGTAACTAATCCTAGGGAGGAGTCATTATGTACATTTTTACTGATGAAGAAACTGAGGCACAGAAAGTTTAAATTACTTACCCAAGGTCTCATAGCTGAACTAGAGTTCACCCCAGGTCCACCTGATTTAGAAGTCCATGCTTTTATCCACCATGCCCTACTTTCTAAGGAAGCTATGAGAACTGGCTTACAAAGGAAACGTGATATCAGTAGAAGACTGGCATCATCTGGAGGAAAGGAGTGGAATGACCACAGGCAGGAAGAAGTTAATCGAGACTTTTGTGAGAAAGGTTTAGGTTGCAGAACTCAGTGTCTTAAGGCCTACAATTCAGGTTGAAGGGGAGGGAAATGGAGGGCACACAATCTCAGGACATGGTTCTGTGTGGGAAAAGAACATGCAAATGGATGAATGAAATTGGCTTCTGATAAGGCCAAGAAAGGGGGCTGCCAAGAGCGACACTGATGGGCTGAATCCAGGATATGAGCTTCCTGAGAATAGAGGGGTAAAAAATATGCAACGAGTAGCTTATAGGTAAGTGGACAAGTAACACACAATATAAAGGAACCTTTACTAGTGATACTAAAAAAAGCCCTAGAAAGTTACAGAAAAGTGAAAAGTAGGTAATAATAAAGGAATGTATTAATGGGATGAAGTAAAATATATTCGCTTAAAGCACACTTTCAAAGGCACTAAATAATAACTTTAGTCAGATTCCCAAGGAGGAACAAACTTAAGTTCTTTGGACAAGGTCAGATTACGGTGATTGAATTCATGCTTTAGTTTTCCCTGAGATAACACTGCGTACATCTTAACATCCTTACGCAGCATTTTCCAAATTTGCTGAACATATGTACCAGCTCTTGGTGGGGGTGGTTAAAATATAGATCTTCAGCCTAGCCCGCAGAGATTCAGGGTTAGAGTGTTGATTATGGGCATGTTTGGGAAAGGCTGCCTTAAGTAGAGGTGGCCTGTTGTTCTTTAGCATCTCCAGATGTTTTTCTCTCTCCCCAGGTACACATAGAACAGAGGCCAAACGGGTATACACCAAGCTCTGGGGTACAGTGCTATGATTTAACGGGATGAATGCTAGCAGGAACCTTTAAGGTGTTATTGAGGGCCAACTCTCTGGGGCCAATTGAAATTGAGCTCACTTAGAATAGGTGCCTTGCATTTGGCTGACACTTACTCATGAAAGTAGTAGCTAATTATTGTTAGACTCAGCTCCTTCCTCCCTCCCTCCCTCCCTCCCTCCCTCCCTCCCTCCTTCCTTCCTTCCTTCCTTCCTTCCTTCCTTCCTTCCTTCCTTCCTTCTCTCCCTCCCTCTGTCTTACTCTCTTTCTCTCTTTCTTTCTTCCTTTGTCTTGCTCTATCACTCAGGCTGGAGTGCAGTGGCATAATCATAGCTCACTGCATCCTCAACCTCCTGGCCTCAAGTGATCCTTCTGCCTTGGCCTCCCAAAGTGTTACGATTAAAGGCATGAGCCACCAGCTGGCATACATAAGCTTTTTTTTTTTTTTTTTATAGAAAGGATAATACTAAGAGTTTAAAACATTCACTCAGGTTTTAATAATCAATAAATATTTGTTATTCTTTGCCCTCATAAAATTTGCAGATTGTAAACAGGGTGACTTGTGCTTTCATTAAGACACTAATGTCTTAAGACACTAAGCAGGGTCCCCTGGAGAAGTTTTGGGAGAAAATTGGAGGTAGATGGGCTGTAGGGAAGGCATAAGAGCTTGTACTTTTACTAATCCTAAGGCAGCAGTTATCAAGTAGGGCTTGTGGATCCCTGGGAGTCCTTAGGCCATTTCAGAGTGTCCATAGGTCAAAACCATCTTCATAATAAGGGCAGTGAGATATTGTTTGCCTTTTCACTGTGTTGATATTTGCATATTGGTCCAGAAGCAGTGGAAGGGCAGGGGAGTCAAACTCCTGGCCCCTTTGTCAAAATCAAGGTGGGGCACCAGACTATGGCTACCAGACTGTGCTAGTAGTCACTGAATGCCTCACCACCACACAGTTTTTTTTTTTAAGACAGTTGTGTTTAGAAATGTCTTTGATGAAGCAGTAAATATTATTTTGTCATCTTTACCCTCAAGAACATGCCTTTTTAAAATTCTATGTGATAAAATGGAAAGTACTTACAAAAAACTTGTGCCACTTGCTAAAGTACAATGGTTGTCTCAGGAAGAAACTTTTTCCCATGGAACATTATTTTTGCTTGAAAGGACTATTGACAGATGAACTGATTATTCAGACTTGGGTATTTGGTGGAAATTCCCCAAAAAATAAATGAAGTAAGTGCATCACTTCAAGGAAAATAATTGACAATATTTGTTACTGTATTAGTCCATTTTCATGCTGCTGATACAGACATAGCCAAGACTGGGTAATTTATACAGGAAAAAGGGTATAATGGACTTAGAGTTCCATGTGGCCAAGGAGGCCTCACAATCATGGTGGAAGGCAAGGAGGAGCAAGTCACATCTTACGTGGATGGCAGCAGACAAAGAGAGAGCTTGCGCAGGGAAACTTCTCTTTATAAAACCACCAGATCTTGTGAAACTTATTCACTATCACGAGAACAGCACGGGAAAGAGTTGCCCCACATGATTCAGTTACCTCCCACTGGGTCCCTCCCACAACATGTGGGAATTCAGGATGAGATTTGAGTGGGGACACAGACAAACCGTATTATTTCACCTCTGGCCCCTTCAAATCTCATGTCCTCACATTTCAAAATCAATCATGCCATCCCAACAGTCCCCCAAAGTCTTAACTCATTTCAGCATTAACTCAAAAGTCCACATTCCGAAGTCTCATCCAAGACAAGGCAAGTCCCTTCTGCCTATGAGCCTGTAAAATCAAAAACAAGTTAGTTACATCCTAGATGCAATTGGGGTGCAGGCATTGGGTAAATACAGCCATTCCAAATGGGAGAAATTGACCAAAACAAAGAGGCTATGGGCCCCATGCAAGTCCGAAATCCAGCGGGGCAATCAAATCTGAAAGCTCCAAAATGATCTCCTTTGACTCCTTGTCACACATCCAGGTCATCCTAATGGAAGAGGTGGGTTCCCATGGTCTTGGACAGCTCCACCCCTGTGGCTTTGCAGCGTACAGCTTCCCTCCTGTCTGCTTTCATGGGCTGGCATTGAGAGTCTACAGCTTTTCCAGGCACACGGTGCAAGATGTCAGCGGATTTACCATTCTGGGGTCTGGAGGATGGTGGCCCTCTTCTCACAGCTCCACTAGGCAGTGCCTCAGTAGGGACTCTGTGTGGTGGCTCCGACCCCACATTTCCCTTCTGCACTGCCCTAGCTGAGGTTCTTCATGACAGCCTGCCCCTGCAGCAAACTTCTGCCTGGACACATAGACATTTCCACACATCCTCTGAAATCTAGGCAGAGGTTCTCAAACCTGAGTTCTTGACTTCTGTGCCCTGACAGGCTCAACACCAACAGAAGCTGCCAAGGCTTGAGGCTTGAGGCTTGCACCCTCTGAAGCCATGGTTCAAGCTCTACATTGGCCTCTTTCAGCCACAGCTGGAATGGCTGGGACACAGGGCACCAAGTCCCTAGGCTGCACACAGAACAGGGACCCTGGGCCCGGCCCACAAAACCACTCTTTCCTCCTGGGCCTCCGGACCTGTTATTGGAGGGGCTGCTGTGAAGACCCCTTTCGCCCTGGAGACATTTTCCCCATTGTCTTGGGGATTAACATTCGGCTCCTGGTTACTTATGCAAATTTCTGCAGCTGGCTTGAATTTCTCCTCAGAAAATGGGATTTTCTTTTCTATCGCATTGGCAGGCTGCAAATTTTCCGAACTTTTATGCTCTGCTTCCCTTATAAAACGGAATGCCTTTAACAGCATCCAAGTCACCTCTTGAATGCTTTGCTGCTTAGAAGTTTCTTCCACCAGATACCCTAAATCATCTCTCTCAAGTTCAAAGTTCCACACATCTCTAGGGCAGGGGCAAAATGCCTCTAGTCTCTGTGCTAAAACATAACAAGAGTCACCTTTGCTCTAGTTCCCAACAAGTTCCTCATCTCCATCTGAGACCACCTCAGCCTGAGTTTCATTGTCCATATCATTATCAGCATTTTGGTCAAAGCCATTCAACAAGTCTGTAAGGAGTTCCAAACTTTCCCACATTTTCCTGTCTTCTTCTAAGCCCTCCAAACTGTTCCAACTTCTGCCTGTTGCCCAGTTCCAAAGTTGCTTCCACATTTTTGTGTATCTTTCCAGCAGCAACCTACTCTACTGGTACCAATTTACTGTGTTAGTCCATTTTCATGCTGCTGATAAAGACATGCCCAAGACTGGGTAATTTACATAGGAAAACGGGGTTTAATGGACTTACAGTTTCACGTGGCTGGGGAGGCCTCACAATCATGGTGGAAGGCAAGGAGCAGCAAGTCACATCTTACATGGATGGCAGCAGTCAAAGAAAGAGAGCTTTTGCAGGGGAACTCCACTTTATAAAACCATAAGATCCTGTGAGATTTATTCACAGTCACGAGAACAGCACAGGAAAAACTTGCCCCCGTGATTCAATTACCTCCCACCGGGTCCCTCCCACAACATGTGGGAATTCAAGATGAGATTTGGGTGGGGATGCAGCCAAACCATATCAGTTACCAATGATAAAATTTTGAACTTCCAAGAAAAAAATGAGAGTTTCGGAAAACCTCTATCTGCAACTATGAACTTCATAGCTTCCTAATATTTTAAATATTGAGACAAGATTTTTCTGATGAGATTGTGGTGATATTAATGCATGTAGTTTTAAATTTTTTTGTGAAATGTGTCCACATTGGGAAGATCAGCTCATTTTCCAAAAAACTAGTGCATGATGTTACACAATCAGTATTCAAAGTCGAGACTGACCAGTGAGTACTTTCTTGTTTGTTTTTAGACCAGTGGATTTTATTATAACAGAGTATTTAATGTAACAAAGAAAGGTTCATTGATAGGATTTCAAATTCCACATTACAAATAACCTTTAAGAAACCAGCATCTGTTGAATTTTGGTGTAGTATCAAATAATAATATCCACAATTAACTGAAAAAGCTACTAACATACTCTTTCCCTGTTCAATTACCTATCTGTGTGAGGACAGATTTCCTCCATAAACTTCAAACAAAATATTATATTGCAACAGATTGACTGCAGAAGCAGATCTGAGGATCTAGCTATCATCTATTATGCCATACATTAAAGAGATTTGCAGAATTGTTAAGATGATGCCACTCTTTTCAAGACTTTTTGTTTTGTTTTGTTTTGGAAAAGGTAGTTGTTTTTTATAAAGCATGCTATTTTTGTTAATGTCATAGATTTTTCTTTTTAAATGAATTAATGAACATTTAAATTTTCCTGTTTTTATTTCTAATATGATAAATATTGATGGATTATAACTTACAGAAAGAAAAGCTTCGAGTCCCTTAATAATTTATAAGAGTTTAAAGGGGTCTTGGAAACAGAAGGTTGAACTGCTCACCCAAAGTGTGACTGATTAAGGGGACGGCTGCATGATAGCCATCTGGGCCTCCTGAGAGGACTGCCTCTTTTTTTTTTTTTTTTTTTTTTGGAGACAGAGTCTCGCTGTCGCCCAGGCTGGAGTGCAGTGGCGTGATCTCTGCTCACTGCAAGCTCCACCTCCCGGGTTCACACCATTCTCCTGCCTCAGCCTCCCGAGTACCTGGGACTGCAGGTGCCCACCACCACGCCCGGCTAATTTTTTTGTATTTTTAGTAGAGACAGGGCTTCACCCTGTTAGCCAGGATGGTCTCGATCTCCTGATCTTGTGATCCGCCGGCCTCGGCCTCCCAAAGTGCTGGGATTACAGGCGTGAACCACCGCGCCCGGCCAGGACTGCCTCTTAAAGTTCATCTTTTCAGCCTGTAATCACAAAAAGAGGATCTAGGTTCTCCCATCTCCCATTAGTAGACCCAGTTCCTACCAACCCATACCCTAAAGTCTGTCGTTTCTGGGGCAGAAGCAATAACTGAGCATCTCCTTGATCAGGCCACACCCTGTCTCCCATATTTTTGGATTTATGTGTAAATAAGACAGTTAAATAGAGTTCTCAGTATTTTTCCAATGAGAAGCTGCTTTCAATTTTGACACATCTGACATTGATCACATAGTTTTACAGAAGGTTTTAATAAAGTTGCCAACTGTGGTCTTTGGAGTCTGACAGGCTCACCTATTTCATCGCCTTATGACTTTGGGCAAGTCATTTTTATCTCTCACAGCAACAGTGTTCTATGTATGAGGAAAGACTGGGTTCACAATAAGTTTAATGATGGTGTTGATACTTACTAGGTGTGTTAACAGTTTTAATTGTTATTCTCCCTGTTCCCATTGGCAATTTTCTTGGGCTTGGAGGTTTGAGATGGCAATGAGCTTGACTAGTCTATTTGTAAATTACAGCTGAATTGACTGCAGACTCCTGTTAGAGAAAGCTGTTTGGCTCAACTATTGGATTATATACATATTTTTATAATAAATTCCATCTTCCTATACACACACACACACACACACACACGTACAAAGATTGCACAGCAAAGCCAGCATAAAGTGATATGGCATATGATCAGTCATAACTTTTAGATTATCAGCTAATTTCTACCTGACCCTTCAAAAAGCCAATGAACACGTAGATGTCATGCTAGTGAGAATGGATAGCTTTCAGGAAAAGGGTAGGTCCTTTGGGACTATCTCTATTCTTTTGAAAACGTGTGCCATACTTTTAGATGAGAACATATAAATAAGTCTAAATCATACCAGACATTTTTCAGAATTGTCCTTTTTTACTAAATCATTCTCCATGTGCTAATTTTAAAATGTAGTTTTGATCTTCTCTAGTTTTTTTCTGGGAAATTCCTTCTCTGTTGAAAACAGAGCATTGAAAGGAGAGGGGACATCATTGCTTTCTTGGGTTTTATTCCCCATTCCATAGAGATATCCCTTGACCTGTGACACTGTGGCTCCTGGAAGATTTGGGAATTGTTATTGCATGGGGTTAGGGGGTCTTTATGCACAAATACATATTCTCAAAGGACACTGAAAGTATAAATGTCTTTAGGCGGAGTTAGGGAGTAAATGGCATTAAAAGGGAGTCTTAAAACTTGAAAACAGTCTCATATCACAGTAGTCCATGCAACATGAAGTCACCTCTGGTATATCCAGCCCCTACTTCTGGACCGCGCCCCAGGGGCCTCCTCTCTCTCTGCTTGTTACCTTTTACGTTTATTCACATCTCTTCAGTCATCCACCTAGAGTAGACTGTCTTGCTTCAAACTGCCCTTAATGATTGGTTTAGGGTATATTTGCTTCTTCTCCCCCTGTCTCCATTTTTGACATTATCATCTTTCCTTAAAGACCACCTCCTCATACCACTTTTTACTTATGACTAAGCCCTAAAATTAATGAAATTTAGAAACTGGAAAGAGAAAATGGGTAAGTGCAAGGGTAGGACACACTGCTTTGGAGACCATTTACCTAAATTTCTGGGCGTGTGTGAAAGCTTGCGAGGTACTTCTATCTCATGGAGCACATTGTTTATATTCGCATTCATGCACATAAATACCTCAATAGTAGTGAGGCTTCACGTGCATTCAGTCCCATTCTCACAGTACCTGACATTCTTCCATTGTCTTCTTCCAGGCTATTTGGGCACATGGTTTGCTTCTAATGAATGTACCTAATACTTGTGTTCGGCTTAAAATTAATCAACAAACCTTCTGAAATGCTTGAAGTAAAACAAAATACTCTTTTGATAAAGCCATACTCCTAGACCATTGAAAACACAAGTATTGTTCAAAAAATCATCTCATAGAAAAATGCCATTGTAGTTAAACTACTTGCTTGCTGGGGATAGAACAAGGACATAATCCAAGTGGCTTCACTTGCCGTCACTGATTTTCTTCCATTTATTGTGCCTGTAAAGGACTCAGGTTTGGTTGAATATGATGGAATTATTTCAGATTGCGTTGCTAGAAATAATCCTGGTCTGAAAAACCTAGACATGCACTATAACAATGTCCCTGTCTTTTTAGTAAATTAGCAAATTAAAAAAAAAAAGAGTACTTTGGATCCAGTAGAGGAAGTAGGCAAATAAACAGTACACCTATCAAGACTTTCTTATTTTTTTTTTTTTTTTTCTTGAGACAGTCTCACTCTGTCACCCAGGCTGGAGTGCAGTGGCGTGATCTTGACTCACTGCAACCTCCGCCTCCTGGGTTCAAGAAATTCTCCTGCCTCAGCCTCCCAAGTAGCTGGGATTACAGGCCTGCGCCACCACACCCGGCTGATTTTTGTATTTTTAGTAGAGATGGGGTTTCACCATGTTGGCCAGGTTGTTCTAGAGCTCCTCACCTTAAGTGATCCTCCCACCTCGGCCTCCCAAAGTGCTGGGATTACAGGCATGAGCCATTGCACCCGGCCAAGCCTTAACTTTTGTATATTAATTTAATGTTCTTAGTTTTCGTTGATAGTTAAATTTTATGTAGATGGTTGTCATGCATAAGGCAGGAAGAAATATTTTCTGTGCAGGAGTGAAAATAGGCTAGAGTTCCGTTGCGTGTGTATGTGTGGGGTTTTTTTTGTGTTTTTGTTCCTTTGTTTCTTTGTTTTTTGAGACAGAGTCTCACTCTGTTGCCTAGGTTGCAGTGCATTGGTGCAATCACGGCTCACTGCAACCTCCGCCTCCTGGGCTCAAGTGATTCTCATGCCTCAGCCTCAGCTGGGATTACAGGCATGCACCACCATGCCCGGCTAATTTTTGTATTTTTAGTAGACACGGGGTTTCACCATGTTGGCCAGGCTGGTTTTGAATTCCTGATCCGCCTGCCTCAGCCTCCCAAAATGCTGGGATTACAGGCGTGAGCCACTGTGCCTGGCCCCTTTTTTTCCTTCTGAGACAGGGCTTGCTCTGTCACCCAGGCAGGAGTGCAGTGGCACAAACCTAGCTCACTGCAGCCTTGACCTCCTTGGGCTCAAGTGATCCTCCTGCTTCAGCCTCGTAAATAGCTGGGCCCATGGGCACGTGCCACCAACCCTGGCTATTTTTTAACGATTTTTTTGTGGAGATGTGGTCTTACCATGTTGCCCAGGCTGGTCTTGAACTCCAGGGCTCAAGTGATCTTCCTACTTTGGCCTCCCAAAGTGCTTGGGGTGGCACCCAACCTAGAGTTCTGTTTTTGATCTTTATCATGCATATGGCTTAATCAGGTTTTTGTATGGGGGCTTATTCATGGCATTCAGGTCAAATGAGTGTTGGTTCTCTGCACTGTCTTTAGTGGTCTTTGCCATTTTGGAGAGTATCCGAGAGTTGTAAGAGACACTTAAAAACTCCAAAAGTATCTGAGAGTATCTGAAATACATAATAAATGTGTTTATTAGTAAATGAGGAAATATTTACTGAGTACCTAATATGCTTTAGCTAGTTTTAGTAACTATAGCCAACAACCATGAGTTTTTTGAAAATTAATTTTTTGCATGTTATTAGGTGTTAGTAATAGTAAATTTTACAATGTTGCTTTTGTTTTTATTATTAATGGAGAGCATTAGTTATTTTTTCTTTCCAAAAAAAACTGAATTGATAAAAAAGTATCCCTTCTCTATGAAGTAATTTGTTCTCCTTTTATGAAGTAACTCAGTGATCTCTTTATTTATGTATTGTAACCATATGTATGCAGCCAGAAGTTATTCTTCTCTACCCTCCCTCCCACAACTAAACAGCTTTGGGCAGCAGCATGCAATCTTTTTGCTATTAAGTTTCTATGAAGTGAGGCCAGAAAGCTTTAAACATATTTTGACCAAGATGGTTTAGGAGTCTGGTTATGTCTCAGTTTGCTCTGACTGACTTGACTGAATAACATCTTGGATTGTCAACGAAGTGTTGTGTAATGTGTGTTTTCTCACACTTGAGCTCATACCACAAGATATTCTTAGGCTAATAAATGTATCTCCCAGCCAGTGTAAAATAGAGAACTTTCAATTTAGGAGAAGCCTCCCTGCTCAGAAACTGGTCTCCCTGTCTTAGATTTTTACCAGGACATGGTAGATTCCCGTCCTTTTTTTTTCTCCTGAGGCTTGGACTTGCTCCCTTTTTTACTATTTTTTGAAATTTTCCATTTAAAAAATTAATTTTGTAAAAATTTTAAACAGTTTCCAAGTTACCAAAAAGTTGCAAGAACAGTGCAACTGTCTTTTGCATCCCGAAGTTTTGGAGAGTAAGTTGCCAACATGGTGCTTCATCATCCTCAAATATGAGAACGACATTCTCCTACATAACCCAGTATGCATAATAACATCAGGAAATTAACATTGACTTTTCACTACCGTCTAATCCTCATAAGAGAGGCCTGTGAAAACTAGTCAACTGGCAAAAAAAGAAAATTTGAGTACTGCATTGTAGAAAAAAGATCATGATAATTCTCAGTTGAGAGTAGGTATAAGTGTATAATACCAGAAAAATATGTACACTTAATGTAAACTGAATGGCAAATGAAGAGGCAGGAGAAAATGATCATGATAATGGGGCTGCTGTCCACATGCTTCTCTAGCAATCCCACAATGTGTCTTCATTCGCTTTGATGCTGAATACATGAGCTCTTCTATGACGAATCATTTGACCACTGGATAGCTCCAGCTTTGAGTTTGCAGTTGGCCCTGGTACCTTGTCTCAAAGTCAGCTATTTTGGTCTTGTTGGTCTGCTTCTTGATGTAGCTTCTGAGAGTTTAGTTATTCAGTACCATTGTAGAAATTTCAGTACATCAGAGGGATTCTTTCATGTATGTGGGTTGCAGCTGCCCACTGCACTGTATAGATGGTCTCACATGAGTGAATGTCCAGCCTTATTGCTCTGTTGCTGAAGAGTGAGAGAACTTGCTCTCTGTGATCAAATAGGCTACTTTTTCCTTTCATTTTATTCCTGAGCAAATAATCCTACATAGAGTTCTTCATGTAATTTTTCTCTGATTTATATTATAAAGTGCCATGGTCAAAGTGGCATTATGTTGTGAAATAGATAAGCTAAAGAACAGTTCTTCATAGAAGAAGTAAAAAGGCTTATCAATAAGGCTAGCTCTTTGAAAGAACTATTATAGGAAATTAAAACTTTTTCTGGTAAGTTTTTAATGTACATGTTTATGTAAATGTGGATTAGGTTTAAAGTTTTTTGAACATTTAAAGAAATTCGAGAAAAAATTCACACATCCTATCACCTTATCAAAATGACTTAAGTTCTTTGTTGTTTATATGTGCATTTGTATAACTATTACAATAAGGACTTATTTATATTATAAGTTATACATATAGATTCTGATTGTGATATATGTCCTTTAAGGCTCTTGCAGACCAATTTGAAGATAAAACTACATCTGTATTGGAACGCCTGAAGATTTTCTATTGCTGTCAAGTACCACCTCACTGGGCCATTCAGGTATTTCTGTTGTTTGTCATTGGGTATGGAAATTACTTGGCATTAGAAAGGTAAATGCATTATAAATTGATGATTTTAATTTATGTTTGAATTTTCAAATATTTTGCTAAAGATAATAAATGTATCTGCCTGGGAATTGCTAACTACTTCAAATTGCTATTTTGATTAAAGTGATATTAGACTCATAAAACATTTTTAAAATAATTTAAAATCTTATGAAATAGAATCCTAGAAATAAAATAATAGAATCATAAATGCTTGCATTTTGAAAGTAACTTCTTTTTTTTTAAGGGATGAGGTCTTGCTTTACTGTACAGGTTGGAGTGCTGTGGCGATTCACGGGTGTGATCATTGTGCATTACAGCCTTGAACCCCTGGGCTTAAGCAATCACTCTTGCCTCCAGCCTCCTGAGCAGCTGGGACTACAGATGTGCACTACCATGCCTGGCTTTGAAATAATTTCTTATATTAAAATTATTTTAAGGACTTTCTGCCAAAGAAGGAACCTTTTAAACAAGTTGTTTACAAAAAGCAAAAGAAAGCATTTATTTGGTATACTTTAAGTTGTGAGATACACATGACTACTCTCCTCTTTCTGAGGCTATGAGAATACCTACTGTAGCTCCTAATGGCACATGGTGGGGTGGGGATTCTGGCCCCTTGTCTACATGGTTCTCCTGTATTATAGGTGTAGTTCCCTATTTTGTAAAATTTTAGCACTGAAAATAACTTAAGACACCTGACCCAGTTTCTTAATGTTACAGAGGAGAAATTGAGGCTCGGTGCAATTAGTTTTCTGGTGTTGATCACCCAATCTACATGAACTAGGTTTCTAGTTTCCTCACTTTTAATCTATCTCTTTTCCTTAGCTTTTCATTGGGTTGAAATTATACCAGCTAATAACAACCAACTTTTACTGCATACTTAATATGATGCATATATTTTATTCTGCATTCCACACATATTCTCTTATTTTATTGCAACAATTTTTAAAAATATCTGTTTTACACGTGAGGAAGCTAAGTCACAGAGAGGTTAAGTGGAGTCAGATGGAGCCAGCCAGGGGATTACAGATGATTTATCTACTATTGTTATTTTAACCAGTTTTCTGTCCTCTCTTTCATGGATCATACACATAGGTAGTGAGTTAGAAACATAAATGCCAACCCACCATCCAATCGTTTAAAATCCCCATTATAAGACTTCTTAAAGTAGGTTATATTCTTAAACACAGGGTGAACTAGGAGGTTTATTGTGCATTGGAGTTCAGTTTACATATTGAAGGAATCTCAATAAAACATATGCAAGTAAAAAAGCTTTATGATATCTCAAAAGGAATAGCTTCTTCATCAAGAATGTGTTAACAGCTGGAATTTTTTAGTGTGTTTTTGACTCTGATCTGTGAAATTGGTTAGGTGCTTTATATTATGTGGTTTGATGGATAAACATTTCAGACTGAGCTGTTATGACAAAATGTGTCTATTGAGGGTGTTGCTTTTTATCTTTTTCTGAACAGAAACATTAGGAAACAAATACTGTTCAAACTGAATTTAGGCCAAATGCTTATCTGCCTAGGAAGCTGTAGATTTCAGGATCTTCAGGCAGTTAGATAAGGATCATTTTTCATTAAGACGTTAATTACTTTTTCTTGCATCATGGGGACTATCTTTGTGTATTATTTTAAAGATTGAGAAATAACAGAACAGTTTATTATAAAAAGAGAATTAGTCTCTACTTTGCTACTAACTAGCCATATCATCTTGGATGTCATCAACTTTCTTCATCTGTTAAATGAAGATATTGTACTGCTCACTGCATAAGCACCAAGATTTATTCCAGCTCTCACATGCCATGGGCAGTTTTTGAAAATGTCCAATTATATTCTCTAAAATAGCCAGATTCTCCTGTATTCCATGGGTTACTGATGTATTGGATCATTCTCATTATTTATTTTGATAATCTGTAGCTTATAATTTTTAGGCATATTTCTGATATTATCAGTCCTAGATTTTTCTGGACTTAACTCTTAAATATGTGTTGAATTTTCAGAGTAGTAAAAGTATACTTAAGAGAGAACAACACAGCTCTCTCTAATATGAAACTACACTTTATTCTGACCTTACCTACTTTTTTAAATCTTTAAATTTTTTTTCCCTTTGTGCAGGTGTTAACACTTATAAACCACAATATATTTATTTTTAAATATGTTTAACTTTCACTGACCTTAACTCAGTTTGCTCTTTTTTTTATCTGCCAGGGACTGGGAAATTAGGTAGCAAAGTTTGTTAGAATGTGCTTGAAATAAATCTAAGTAGCTTTGAGTGAGAAAGAGCTAGATATGCCCTTCTGAATAAAATTCAGCAGGGCTAATGCATAGATTTTATGTCATCTCTATTGACTGCTCAGAGTTTTAAAAATTAATTTATTGGATCTCAGCCTCATAAGTTAGAGATTGTTATATACAGAGTGTCTAGGTAAAAAAGAAATATTTATTTTTGCTTTTTAAGTTCTTAGAGAAAATTTGTATATATTTAGCATTTTCAACAAAAAAATTGTTCTTTAATTCCTTATACCCTATAAAGAGGCTTGTTTTCTAAAGTAAAGGTATGTATTGAATTATTACAAACTTCTAAATAGTACAGATTGTAGAATTTATACATTTATTACAATAAGCAGACCCCTAAAAAGGCAGATTAGGTACACCTGCAAGTGAAACAGGAATCTCTTTTTACACCAAGAAGTATTAATTATTTTTACTTGATTTTTCTAGCGCCAACTTGCAAGTTTGCTCTTTGAGTTGGGATGTACCAGTTCAGCCCTTCAGATATTTGAAAAGCTAGAAATGTGGGAAGATGTTGTCATTTGTTATGAAAGAGCCGGGCAGCACGGAAAGGTATGTAATAGTCCAATTTGATGTACTGGTGAGAGCCTTCCCTCTGGGAGCATCTTCTCACTTGTTTTGTTTTTCAAACCCACTTTTGCCAATATTCACTTATATTCCTTTTTTCACTTTTTTTCCAGAAAACTTTTAAATGTTTTCTCTGATTTCCACTGGGGCAGATTTTTACAAAATTTTTAAGAAAGACTAACAAGAGCTTTGAAGACGTGGGATTTTGATTTCTTTCCTTTACTCACCTTCTCCCTTAGGATGACTTCAAAGCGAAATATTTGGAATCATTTTAATGATCACTGGGTTGCCTGATGATCAGATGCTGTGGGCCTCAATGGAGGTTCCCTAGGAGAGAGGGTGAGAGCAGCTGGGTTGGTCTTTAAAAGAAAATCCAAAGGGTGTGACGACACCTCTTGAGGCAGAAGAGTTGTCAAGTGTGTAATGCACATTTAATTCTACCCTTAAATTGGGCCAGGAGGGAAAATGTTGCAATATTTGCATCTGTTATTTGTCTGTTGTTTTTTTCCCCTCATACATGAACAGAATTTTAAGAAGAATAAGGGGCTCTGCATTGTTAGTCACTTTAAAAACTGACACATTGAAATCATATGTTAAATTTTGGATTAAAAATTTAAAAGACTTAAGTTGAGTACATAAGCAAGCAGAGTAAAGCCCACAAATTGGATCATTTATACCTACAGTCAACCTTTTGCCATCACCCTAAAAAAGAGCAATAGTGGTTCAAGCATGTGTTTTTCTTAAATACCTTCCTAAGTATGTCTATTTTAGATTAATAGTGAAAGTTGCATTTCTTTCACTAATCAGTTAATGGCAGTGAAGGTCTTTGAATTGTATTGACTTAAGGAGAAACCAGAATAAGAACAAAGTTTTACTGTGGAAGATTATCGACTGGGCATGGTGGTTCACACTTGTAATCCTAACACCTCGAGAAGCTGAGGTGGGAAGATCGCTTGAGCCCAGGAGTTCAAGACCAGCCTGGGCAACCAAGTAAGACCCCATCTCTACAAAAAAACAAAATTAAAAAATAAAAAATTAGCTGGGTGTAGTGGTGCATGCCTGTAATTCTAGTTACTTGGGAGACTGAGGGAGGATGATCACTTGGGCCTGGGAGGTTAAGGCTACAGTGAGTTGTGATCATGCCACCGCACTGCAGCCTAGACGACACAGTGAGACCCTATCTCAAAAAAATATTGATAGAGTTATAATATTTTTATCCTGGAAAAGAACCCCATAAACATCCATTCTAGCTCCCTCCTTTTGTAAATGAGGAAAGGTTTCCCTTATGATTTGCTTCAGATCACAAGCTGGTTATTGACTCTTTACTTGCGAGGTAGTATGGCATGGTGGCTAAAAGCATATAGCCTCTGGTCTCTGGCTGCCGGTAGTCAAATGCCAGCCTGCTTCATGCTAGCTTTGTGATGTTGGACAAGTTGCTTTAATCTTCCTTGTCTTAGTTCCCTCATCTGGAAGCACTTAATCTATTTGCCTTATAGGTTTTTGTAAGATAATATATGTAAAGTACGTACTCTAGTGCTTACCTCATAATGTGACATGAGTGCTTGCTGCCATTACTTGCTGTGATTCTACGAGATGTTTTTTCTTCATATTTTAATATCTCTAAAATTGGAATGTATTTAACAATTGATGGCATCTTCCATTTGCTCTAATTCAGGTGGCTGTCCTGTCAGGTTGTCCATACCTGTGCATGTGAAAGCTAATGATAGCTACATTTAGGCCACCATTTCAGTTGAGTTGTGGACAAGGTGTCAGCACTACGTATGTTGTGTTTAATTGCCATTTAAAATATCTTCAAAAGGATTTCATTATGATTTGGCACTGAAACAAAAAGTTATTGAATACAGAGAAAAAGACAGAACCAAATTAGAGAAATGAAAATTTAGTATTACTGAAATAAACATTTGCCATCAGATAAATCATCACAATTCCATTTACTTTTCTTTAAAAGCAGCAACCAAGTGCTTTATGAGAGTCAAGAAAGAAGGATACCCAAAAGTAGATGAAGCTTTGTTTTGTACTGAGATGTATGAAGAAAGGTTGTCATTTAAAATGTCAAGCAACGTATTGAAGGCAGGAAGAACTGCCAAATTTTTCTGAATAGACTGAAAAAAATCAAAGCAAACAAGAGGCATTAGATTATAATTAAAAGCATTTTTTCTTTCTTTAACAGAGTTTGTCTTACAACTGATAGCATCTCAAATTTGATGAAATATAGTCATGTATTTCTTCAGCGACTTAAATATCTTTTTAGTGCCCGTTGTCTGACACTAAAGTAGTACTCAGATGTTTGTTTAACAAAGGAATGAATGGATGAATGAATATCTTGACTTCCAGTCTGATGTAGTTCCCATTGCATCATTCTTTACTGTGCTAGTCTTTTTACACTGGCCAAGAAATAAGTAATAACTTTATATAAAAATATGGTAGTTTTTGAAATAATAATATTTGAAATAAGCAAGTTGGTAAATCACAAATGCTCAAAGCATATTTTAGAATATTAATTTAATTATTTTTAGAAAGTATGGAAAGATGAGACTTTCCTTAATTGCAGGAGAAAAAACATAATGAATCCATCCCCTTCAGAGAAGGGATTTGACTGTCCCCCTAAGTAGTTGTGATGATTATTATTTTTTTAAATGTGCACATGACCTTGTAAGAATTGTGTGTAATAATGACAAATGCTTCTGTTTCTAAATCCTCTAGAAAATGTGCATATTTAAAATTTTAGAAATGTATAGTCATTTACTTTGTCTTAAGTTTTTTGTGAGTTTTAGCCAAACAGCCCCCAAAATCTTGATCTTAAAAGTTGATTTTAGTATTTTATTTAACCCATAAAAGACCTCCTTTACCTGTTTTTCTTATGCTATATTTGCAGATTTTTTAAACCATAGACCCTAAAAAGTTTTGCTGCAATTTAGAAGCAAATGTTTTATTTCTAAAACAGCTGATACTCTTTTGGTATTTGGTCATGTGCCAGTAGCTGTCACCACATTTTGATTTAACTAGAAGTCTGTGAAATTTTAATCCTTGCATTTAATGCTTAATTGGCATAATTTATTTTTAAAAGGCAAATTTGGAGAAATGTTTAATTCTAATTATTGTGTTCTGGTGCTCATGTTTACATCCCGGTGTTGTAGGGTCTCAGAAATTCTAGCTTAGAAACTACCGGCATACATTCTTGTTATTTAATGACCATAGGCAAAATAGCTAAGATTAATTTTGCTCGACCTTGGTATCAGAACTGGTTCTCATCTGTTAGCATTTAGTATTTAAAGGTTATCCGACCCACTTACAGCAATTTCCCCTAGCTGATAGATGTATTCTTATTTTGTTGAGCAAATTTGGTTCCTAAATGAGAGACAAAGACTGAGGGTGAGGGGTTAGGGATAGATAAGGGTTGGGACCTCTCTTGTTTTCTCTTGTTTCAAGGAAGCAAGGCTTCCCTGAGATTACATGGTCCTATCTTTTATTATGCTACATTTGCAGATCATTGTAATCATGGACTCTTAAAAAGTTTTCCTTTAAATTGTAAGTTAATGTTGTATTTCTAAAACAGCTAAGACTTTTTTAGCAATTGGTTTGGATTTCCTGTTTTGGGGGCTTTTTTTTTTTCTATCATAGAGATTCTTTATACAGTTTAAAAGATTTTCCCAGAAGTTCTTTCCTCAAACTATAGCCAGAATAGTCTTCCTAAAGACAAATCTGCCATTCTCACCCCAAGTAACTTCTCTCTGTTTCCAGGGTTAAGTCTGAGCTGTTTCGAATGAGTGGCTTACAGACAACTTTATTTATTTATTTATTTACTTACTTACTTATTTAGAGATGGAGTTTCGCTCTTGTCGCCCAGGCTGGAGTGCAGTGGCACGATCTTAGCTCACTGCAACCTCCACCTCCTGGGTTCAAGCGATTCTCTTGCCTCAGCCTCCCGAGTAGCTGGGATTACAGGCGTGCAGCACCTTGCCTGGCTGATTTTTGTATTTTTAGTAGAGATGAGGGTTCACCATATTGGCCAGGCTGGTCTTGAATTCCTGACCTCAGGTGATCCGCCTGCCTCAGCCTCCCAAAGTGCTGGGATTACAGGCATGAGCCACCGCACCCAGCCTCACTTTATGATCTGTCTCCTGTTTCCATTGCCAACTGCATTTTCTCCTTCTTTTACTCCCCTTCATACCTACTCTGTCATCCAGGTTGCACCTGAAGTTCCAGCAGTACTTTAATAGCTTGAATTAAAGTACTTGTAAGTTCTTGATTTTGTAGCGCCGTCTCACTTCAGACCTTTGTAATTGTTGTCTGTCTAGAACGTTTGTCTTCTTTCAGCTAACTGCTACTTATTCTTTAGGAGATTGCTTTCTACAGAGAGCCTTCCCAGATACTTTCCTCCCACATTTGGTGGTACCATCCACCTGTGTACTCCTATGGCACCCAAACTACTCTGGTACCCCATTTGTTGGCTCATCTGATCTACTAAATGTAAGCTGCTTAAGAACCAGACCTGTGTCAACAGCTGTTGGCCAGGTGTGGTGGCTCACGCCTGTAATCCCAGCACATTGGTAGGCTGAGGCGGGCAGATCACGAGGTCAAGAGATGGAGGCCATCCTGGCTAATATGGTGAAACCCCATCTCTACTAAAAATACAAAAAAAAAAAAAAATTAACCGGACGTGGTGGCATGTGCCTGTAGTCCCAGCTACTTGGGAGGCTGAGGCAGGAGAATCACTTGAACCTGGGAGGTGGTGGTTGCAGTGAGCTGAGATCACACCACTGCCCTCCAGCCTGGGTGACAGAGCGAGAATCCAATAAAAAAAACAAAAAACAAAACAACAACAACAACAAAAAAACAGCTGTTGCCCCAGAACCTGGCAAAGTTTTGGCATGTAGCAAGAAGTCAATCATATTTGCTGCATGAGTAACTAGTAAGTGATCACTCAATAGTTATCTCATTGAAGCAATCTCCATGTAGGACACTCCTTATGGATGACTGCATGTGGCAGAAGATACCCCTCCAACCACTGCCTTACTCTTCTCTCTCCAAAAACAAATTATGAGATTCCCCCACTCCCATTTGAACCTTCTAACTTTAGGAGTAGAAATAGGAACAAACCTTAAAGAATTTTGATTCTTGCTCAGTAAATGCTAAGGAAACTGTGAGCATATTATTATGTAATGCTATCTTTTGAGGGCCTTATATGTACTGCATTCTTTATATAATTATTTTATAATTGTCATATGCTATTCATAACAACCCACAAAATATGGATTGTTTTCATCACTTTACTGATTAGCATTACTAAGTGGCAGTTTTGGAATATGAGCTCAGACCTTTATTTCCTTTAAAGCCAGCACCCATTTCCCCACAACTGCCTCCCATCATGGTTATTGTTAATCCCTTAAAAATTGGATATTAGCTTTGTAAGTTAAAACCTGTTGTGCTCACTTGATTGAGAAAAATAGGCAAAATAATGGAAAATACTCTATAAATTGGTAATGCAAATAAGAGATGATCAACTAATTGAATAATAAAGCCTGTTTTTAATTACTCTGTTTCATCTTGGACCTGGAGTATTTATGTTGGCAAGTAACCTTTAAAAAAATCAAGCCAGAGCATGGTGTTGTCACACATATAACTGTGAAAAACAATTAGTGAACATTTGGCTCCATGAGAGAGTAAGTAGGAGTAGACACCACTACACAGAAGTGTAGCTGGGAGTGTCTGATGGGTGGGGCAAAGTGTTTTGCACTTGTCACCTCTCAGCTGCTGCTCATAGAATAAGAATTTAGACTAGGAGTAAATTGCCATTCTGCTAAAAGGGTTGTTCTTGGTGAGAGGGAAACGTGCTTTGGAGTTCTGTCAGCTGTGCCCCTGTCATCTTTATGTACTGTATTGAGGACGTAGAGCACCTTTCAGTGGTCAGTCTCCCTGTCATTGAGAAACAGCCTCTACAATAGAATCAGAATCCATTTTTTGCTCTCTGCTTCAAGGTAGAAGGCTAGAATTAGACTATGGCCAATGTTTTGTGAGTCCCTTGTGTGTGTGTGCGCACACACTTTTTAAAAATTTTTTTTAATCCTAAAGCTATTGTCAAGATGCCAAATCTGGCTAATTGGGGAACCTTAAATTCTTAGCCTGCTTTTTCTCCATTCTCTTGGAGCAAACCTGTATTTATTAAGTCTAATTTTGCTCTTCATGTGGTCCTCAAAGATACTCTTCATAGTTGGTGCCATCTCTGGGTCTAGAGCTTATTTTTTTCCCCTTCATTTTTTACGTGGAGGGCTTCCTATAGTTGTTGGTCTGCCAATTTCCCTTCCTAATATACTGACCAGTTGCAAGGTCAGATAAGAACCACTCTTATCACACATTAGAATTTTAATTCTTTCCATTAATTCACAAAATTTCCGCTAATTCACAAAGTTAAGGCACAGATCACAGCCAAAAAGGGTAGTTTCATTCCTTCTCACTCAAGTATGAATAACTTTCCTGAAATATTTTGTCTACCTTTTCACTGGAGGCTCAACTTAATTTTTCACCCATATTCTTTACCCCAAACCCAAGGCTTCATCCCTGACAGAGTGCTTCCTGGAATCCTAGTGGTGCTTAGGGTAGGATCTTCTCTCCCACAAATCTCAAATTTCCCATATAACAACTTGCAGAAAAACCATATCATCATAAATATAAATGAGCCCCAATATAGCAGGTTTTCAATATATTAGTTCCTTTTCTTGCACATACCTGAAATTCTCAGTTCTCAACACTGGACTGTTCTATCGCAAAATACACCATCAGGATGGGGAACCCCTCAAATACCCAAAATCCCCCTTCAGGCCATCAGTTTTGCTTCTCTGTGTTTATAGTCCTAAGAAGAGTTGCTTCCTAGTTCTCATCATTTGGTTAGAAGGGCATGTGAAATTCAGATTCTGCTATATGACCTCTCTATTCACTAGGGTAAATTTTTGTTAGATCTCTCCTAATTTAGTCATGTAGTGATACTCAGTATTGATTTCAGCTAGAGTGTGTCACCTAAAGGAGTTCTCCTGTCGTTCCCAAATGTGAAGGATCTTTTATGTTTCTGTTTAGTATCTGAAGGACCTTAGAAAATACCATTAGCCCTTTGTGACTTTAGTATTAGTTCCAGTTGAGTTCATCCAATGTTTATAGACTACCTACTGTTTGCTGGGTAAGAATATTCCAAAGATGACTAATAGACAAACTTACTACAAACACAGTTATAGTCCGATATGATAGATACACATGAGCAAATATTTTAGTATGACAGTGCTAAGATAAAAGTATGTACAGATTCCAAATTCTATGTGGCTCTCATATTTACAGCTACATAATTCTTTCTCTGCTGTCCTGCTCTAAAGCAGTGATCTCCTTGGTTTGTATCTTGCATAGATTCCTTTCTGAGATTTTTAGGACTCCTGTGATTTTCCACACTTTTAATAAAAAATCCAATGTTTGGTGGAAATTAGCCTTATGTGGAAAAATTTAGTTTTGATCTTCTACTATTAGTAATTTTTTTCTCTTTGACCTCACTTTCTTGATTCTTCTTGGCTAAGTTCTGTAATCATCTATTTAATGTTGACAACAGCAATTTTTCTGTTTTTGGAGAAACTACACAGTTGACCAGTGTGATTATTTATGGAAAATATTAATGTTCCTAGAAGCTCTTTCAAGTCCCCTCTTCCTAGAGGTAGGGCAACCTCAAGTGTCTTGCTTTCCAGTCTGGTTTTCTAATGGAAGGAGTTGAGGAAGAAGATAAACAGTTTAGGGCTTACTGCTTCTTTCAACCTCTCTGAGGTAGGTAAGCCAAAAATGAAGAAGAAACTCTCAAAATGTTAGTTTAGCTTGTTCATGGTCATTCATTTAGTAAGTAGATTTGACATTTGAAATATCTGATTAAAAGCACATACATCCATGGCCGGGCGTGGTGGCTCCCGCCTGTAATCCCAGCACTTTGGGAGACCTAGACAGGCGGATCACAACGTCAGGAGTTTGAGACCAGCCCGCCAGCCTGGTGAAACCCCATCTCTACTAAAAATACAAAACTTAGCTGGGCATGGTGATGGGCACCTGTAATCCCAGCTACTCAGGAGGCTGAGGCAGGAGAATCCTTTGAGCCCGGGAGGTGGAGTTTGCAGTGGGCCAAGATCACGCCACTGCACTCCAGCCTGCCAGCCTGGGCAACAGAGTGAACTCTGTCTCAAAAAAAAAAAAAAAAAAAAAAAAAAAGCACATATATCCTCACAGATCTTCTTGTAGTTGGAAGTCTATAGACTAGATTATGCAACACAATTTTTTAGTAATATGTTAAAACTATTTTGGTTGTAAAATAATTAACACATACTAGCTTAGGCAAAAAAGGATATTTTATTGGTTCTTGCTACTGAAAATTCTAGTAGACTTCGCATGAGAGCTCTTCCAGGGGCTCAGATGATATCATCAGGACTTTTTAGCTCTCTCCCTGAGGCAGACATGATGGCCACAGGAAGCCCAAGTTTAGTAATCTCAGTGGAAAAATACAGTCAATTCCACATCTCTAAAGAACGATTCAGTGGAAGACTGAAGGGCTTGAGTCATGTGCCTTCTGCCATCTCATCTGATAGGAACTACCTGGACCACACATGAAGTGGGTTTTCCTCAGGGAAGAGGAGTTTAATTTTCAGAAGATCAGGGAAGGGATGCTGAGCAGGAAAAAAGCAACTGTGATGTCCACTGTGGGGTGGGAGTTTAATGACCTAAATCTGAAGTTGCAAACTGGCAGCTTATGGGTGAATATAGGCCAGAGAGACAGTTTTTTTTTGCCTAACTCAGTATTTTGAAAAAAAAATAATAATAAATAAATATTTTAAGGATACTTCATCTTAAAAAATCTAGACTTCTTGGCCTCTCTTAAAGAGTTTAAAGATGTGGAAACACTGAGCAGCCAGAGTCTCATGTTGGTGTCCTAACTGGCTGGAGCTAAGCAGTGGCTCTTTCCTTTGGATGCTCATCTACCAGCCCACTATATTCATCTCAAAAATTGGCAAGCATCTCTGGGCAATTTAGGGTATGACCTTTGCTCTAAATAGTGCAGGTTTCCCTGGTCAAGTAAACAGCATGTTACTCCGGTTATAATTACAAGTTCTGCTTGAGTCTTGGCCAACTTAGTTTTGTGCTGAGATAGTCATTGCCAAAAAAAAGTATTAAAATTAATAATTAGTTGTGTGGAATTACTATAGATTGTTGAAACAGCTTAGATTTGTATGTATGTGGAGCGGGGGTAATGATCTTTGGGGTTTGCATCTGAAAAGATTCTTGCAAGCGCTGCAGGTTCATTGCAACCAGTTGCCCATTTAAATATGTTTTTTTTGTTTGGGGAATGTATTTTTATTATTTTTAATAGACATTTAGATATAAAGTTTCTTGCATCCTATAAGAATGCACATCTGGCCAGGCACAGTGGCTCACGCCGGTAATCCCAACACTTTGAGAGGCCGAGACGGGTGGATTACCTGAGGTCAGGAGTTTGAAACCAGCCTGGCCAACATGGTGAAACCCCAACTCTACTAAAAATACAAAAAATTAGCCGGGCGTGGCAGCACATGCCTGTAATCCCAGCTACCTGTGAGGCTGAGGCAGGAGAATTGCTTGAACCTGGGAGGCAGAGGTTGCAGTGAGCTGAGATTGTACCATTGCACTCCAGCCTTGGCAATAAGAGTGAAACTCCATCTCAAAAAAAAAAAAAAAAAAAGAATGCACATCTGTATATTCCCATGGGGAAATAGTAACCAATAGCCAGAAATTCTAAAGCTTTTGCATTCTGTGAAGATTTATGGCCATTCACATTTTGATATTGCAGAAGTGATGTTATGTAGGCCCTGGTACTTTATTTATGTTCACTGGGCACATCTTTTGTAGCTCATTATTTGGTAATAAATTATGTAAATTGAGTGGATAAGTGGAGGAAGACAGAGAAAACAGAACATTTTGGAAAGAGTGAAGAAGACTGAGGAATGCAATATGACTAGCTGAAGAAAGGAAATACTGCCAGCATTGCCCTTGGGAAAGATAATTTTGTTGGCAGAAAGAAGAGGTATAAGATCTCAGGGAGAAAGAATTAACTTATCTAACACAAAAATGTGGGATAGAATTTGAGGAAAGAAGAGGTCAGTTCAGACCAAGCAGGGTGACTGCTCTAGTGTTTCTCACCTTCTCTGGAAAGTTACACACTCTGGCCCTTCAGACCCATCTTGCAGTTAATAGAATATCCAGAACTGATGTTGGGTAGCAACAAGTTACACACCATCTATTATGTTCCTCATTCTTAAAAGAGTTGCGGTGGGTGGGAGTTGGTGGAGGAAATATATGAAATCCTGAGTACCCTAGCATTTCCAAATGTGAAGATTTTCCTGATTATGATTTCATTTTTCATTTGTATACAGATGCTTCTTGACTTACAATGGGGTTACCTCCCAACAAACCCATCGTAAGTTGAAAATAATTGTAAATCTAAAATGCATTTAATACCCCTAACTTACTGAACATCATAGTTTAGCCTATTCTACCTTAAATGTGCTCAAAATACATTAGCTTAAAGTTGAGCAAAATAATGTAACACAAAACCTATTTTGTAATAAAGTGTTCTGTATCTTATACAGTTTAAAGTGAAAAGCAGAATGATTATATGGGTACTTGATGTACAGTTTCTACCAAATGTGTATTGCTATGGTACCATTGTAAATTTAAAAAATTGTATGTCAGACCATCGTTAAGTTGGGAACTGTTTATATTTATTTTGTCTTCTTTGCAATGGTTGCAGAATACTAGGTATTAAACTCTGGTAAATCATCACAATCTATACTATAGTATAGTTTGAAGTAGAATAAATATTTGTAGAATGGTGTTTTTAACCAAGCAGATTCTTTGAGAATATGATTTGATGTCTGAGCCTTGGATCCTGTTTTCAGCGTAGGATACCTGGGGAGTATAGTATTTCCCTGTAATCCTTTTTATTTCTGTAAGATTGGTAGTAATGTCTCCTTTTCTTTCTAATTTTAGTAATTTGATTTTAAAGATTTAACTTTTGGTTTTTTGATTTTCTCTATTATTTTTTGATCCTCTGTTTTTTAAATTTATACCCTAATTTTTATTTCCTTTCTTCTCCTTGCTTTGGGTATAGTTTGCTGTTCTTTTTCTAGTTACTTTTGGTGGAAGGTTAGATTATTGATTTGAGAACTTTTTTTTCAATATAGGCATTTATAGGTATAAATTTCCATTGAATCAGGCTTTTGCTACATCCCGTAAGTTTCAGCATATTTTGGTTTTGGTTTTGTTAATCTCAAAGTGTTTTTAATTTTGTTGTAATTTCTTCATTTCATTGATTATTTAAGAGTATATTGTTTAATTTCCACAAAATTCCTTTTGTTATTGATTTTGAATTTTATCCCAATTGTGGTTGGAGAACATACTTTCTATGACTTCAGTCTTTCACATTTGTTGAGACTTGTTTTGTGGCCTGTCGTATAGTATATCCTGGAGAATGTTTATGTGCACTTGAGAAGAATGTGTATTCTGCTGTTGGCTGGAGTGTTCTTTAAATGTCTGTTAGGTCTAGTTGGTTTATAGCATTATTCATGTCTACTTACATCTTTTGTGTAGTTATTCTGTCCATTTTTAAAAGTTAGGTATTGACATCTCCAAATATTATTGTTCAGTTGTTTATTTTTCTCTTTAGTTCTTTCAGTTTTTGCTTCATGCAATTTGGAGTTATTTTAGCTGCACATATATTTGTGATTGTTATATCTTTCTTGATGGAGTAAACATTTTATCATAAAAATGTGCCTTTGTTCTAACAATTCTTTTTTTTTTTTTTTTGAGATGGAGTCTTGCCGTGTTGCCCAGGCTGGAGTGCAGTGGCGTGATCTCGGCTCACTGCAGCCTCTGCCTCCCAGGTTTCAGTGATTCTCCTGCCTCAGCATCCTGGGTAGCTGGGATTACAGGTTTACGCCACCATGCCCGGCTAATTTTTGTATTTTTAGTAGAGACGGGGTTTCACCATGTTGGCCAGACTGGTCTCGAACTCCTGACCTCAGGAGATCTGCCCGCCTCAGCTTCCCAAAGTGCTGGGATTACAGGCGTGAGCCACCATGCCTGGCCTGAGTTATATTCTTAATGCCTGTACCAGGGATTACTTAAGATAGTTGATTTTAAGTCTTTGTTTAGTAAGTCTAATATCTGGGCATCCTCAGGGATAGTTTCTGTTGATTGCCTTTTCCCTGTATAAACATACTTTCTTGTTTCTTTGCATTTGTTTGCCCCAACTGTTATTTACCACCTCAGGCAGCTGCAAAATTAATCAGTCATTTCTAGTTGTTTTTTGAAAGACTTTTCACTGAACAAGCTTAGAATTAGGTCAAATAAAGATAGTCTTGCAAGTGAGCTTTTCCAGGGAATCACTAGACTGGGCATATGATGACAGTTTTCCAGAAATGCAGCTTTAAAGGTGTTTCAAACCCATTCTGCCCCCTCCAGTGGCTGCCAGGCCACTAGTTTTCACGAAGATTGCAGGCTCTTGGTATTCAAGACTACTACAGAACTGGAGAAGAGGGGATTGGAATGGTACAAGTTAAAATGCCATGAAGCTTGCTCTTCTTACCAAGATTTAGCATTTCTCTTGAATAAATGCTTCCTGTATTATTGCAAGTCTTTGGTTAATTTTCAGAGTTCTGAAAAAGTTGGTTCTGACACTTTTGGCCAGTTTTCTGGTTATTTTGTAGTGGAGGGAATTTTCAGATGTTCTTATACCATTACATTTGCTACTGTCTGCCTGTGGAATAGTGTTGAAGCTAGAATCAAGTTCCTGCTTTTTAACTTAGTGTTTCTTGGGTTTTGGGTGGCCAATTGACTAAGAAATCTAAGCTTTTATTTCTTTCTCTCAAAAATGGGCATGTTAATATATACTACTTGGAATTATTGTAGGGATTACATGAGATCATGCATTTAAGAATCAACTGGATAAAAGCTAACCTATATGTTACTACCAAATGGAAGGATACATAAGTTCAAAAGGTAGAAATGGGAAAAAAAAAAGATTTTATCACTTAGGCCTGTTTTATGGAAGCAGAGCCACTTTGAGTATTTTAGAGAATAAGTGGTTTACTAAAGGAGTTGAATCTTAACACAAATGTGAGAAGAGCTGGGGAAATGAAGGTATGGAAGAGGGAATCAGAAGATCAAGGCAAGAATCATTGACTAGTCCACTTGAAACATTGGCACAAGTGGGTAAGTCAGAACTTAAGGTAAATCCAAGAAGCCAAATACTTTCAGACATTGAAATGGGACCATGAAGCAGGGGCTTGTGGAGGGATCTGTGGACAACCATTATATCTATATAGCTATTAACCCTGTGAGTCCACACAGCAAATGTCTCAGGGGCCTGGGGATGCTATAGGTCAGCAGAGCCAGCAGTTGGAAGGACAAGGTATACACACAGAGCATGGGTTCTGGGATCTGCAGAGCATCTCCACATCTTGTTTGTTACCATATTAGACCATGACAACTTTCCAAGAGTAAAGGCTGTTGCTTCACTTCTGCCTTTGAAATCCTTGATAGGTTCTCCTATGATGAACTCTAACATGAAATCAGAAGGAAAAGGGATTTTAGGAAACAGTTTCCAGTTTAAGCAAGTTGACATAGCATAATCCAGTACATATGACTATGCAAGGGTTTAGTTGTTTAACTTGGGAATTTACTTATTTGGAAAGTAGCAACGTACTAGCAGGTACAGATTATTCCATAGATTGTGTTTCATAAAGAAGAGTTTCTGACATGGGGAAACTTTAAAATTTCTTCAAACGGGGGTTTAGATATTGAAGCATTCTTACAACATATAAAGTTAAATATTTAATTTAACAAACCTTGATTTGTTTAATAGATGAATTCCTTAGGGGTGATACATCAAATGGATTTTTGTAAATTCAACATTTCCCTAATAACAAGTATTAATACCAGCTATATGATAATTTTTAATTGGTTTTCAGTTGACATTGGCACAGAAGTTTTTTAAATCTTAGTTTGTGTTTTGTTAGCATGATGTCATCAAGGCCATGGGATGGTGAGACAATCAAAGTCATTGCAGATTAAATTATATCATAAAGTCCATGTGGTTCTGAGGCAAGATAGGACAAGCATACTTCTCTCTGTGCTGGTAAAAGGCTGCTATATCTGGTGTTGTCTGGTTATTGTGTAGAGAATAGCACATTTGCTGTATCAGTACCCTGCTTCCCATGTAATGATTTATTCCAGCAAAGAGATCATGTCCAGAACAGTAGCTGTAATCAGAGCCACCACTATGTTAAGTTTATCATAATCCATGACATTTTCCAGGACCCATTTTTGTTCTGCTCAGTTTAAATGGGTAGGTTAAACCACACACACACACACACACACACACACACACACACACACACACATGCACACACATATACACAAGTTTTTGATAATGACACCAACCTCTGGTTTACTAGATATGCAGTGTTGCTTTGAGTTTACTCTTTTAATGAGAAGAGTATGTACGCTTCAGGGGCTTTTGCTTGGCCCTTTTTACTGTAGTAGCACTTAGTAGAGGATCTGCTGGTTGCTCAATATATCTAATTCACTGTACACTCACAGTGAAGGGAAGAGAAGGAAACTAGAGAAATCACCACTAGATAGATTCAGGCCCAGATTACTGGGCCTACCATGGGATGGACAGACTTTCATTAACCCAACCACTCATCGTGATGATGTTTTGAGTCCCAAAGGGTTAACATTAAAGAGGTAACCCTAAGAAGATGGGGTATTTCTATTTCCCCAGGATACAATTATGTGGCAAATATTTATGTTTACTTCTTTGGAAAATACTAGGGAAGAGCTATGATATATCCTTGTTATGTTATTTCAGAGTCCTTCCTGAATGGTATTGGCTTCTTGTTTATTTTTATCTAAAAGGCTGTGAGTCTTTGAAGTGATTCAAAGATAGGAACTGGGTGAGAGACAATGTCTTATCATGGAGACTCAGGTCAGGCATCTGGTCTCCAAACCTAGAAATTTTTTTCTTTAATGTTATACATATCAAGTTTGAACTTCATCAGCTGCCCATCTAGTTTGGAACTGAAGTTTCAGGATCAGTCAGTCACTACTTAAGATCCATGCTAGTCTGACCTAAATATCTGATTATCACTGTGGCCATGCTGATTGCAAATAACTATGCTCATAATGCTTCCAGGTTCAGTGCTATCAGCAAGTCTCTCCCACCCTGGGTTCTAACCACCCCCGTTAAAATCAGGAAGCCCATTTCAACAAAAGGACCTCTAAGCTTTTCCCCAGCTTACACGGAACATCTACCATAGCACTTTTCAAAAATGCTGGTTCTCCCATTTAAAATGTAAAAGGAATATCATCTGGGCCCTGTTGGGGACATAGTTAGGGGTAGATGAGCAGGTTGCAAGTGATAAATTAACAACAGCCTTTTTGTTCTAAGTTATTGGATGCCTTCCTGTACATTACACAAAGGAATTTCTGGCATTTTAACTTTGTTTAGTTTTGGCCACATTTGAGTCCAGATTTTAGTCAAGCAGTTGAGCAAATAATTTAGAACCATCCCCAGCTGCTTGAGTTAGCACTGCGAATCAAAAATTTCTGATGAATATCTTAATTCAGCCCGATTTAAATTATGATCCTTTTTCTCTCTGGTCTAGCATGGTTAGAATCTCTTTTACCATGTGGTCCCAAGGTTTTCCCCTGTAAATTAACAAAATCAGCCGTTCTTTTTGCATGTTGGTTTATTTTTATGTCTGAAGGCAGTGAGGGATGGAAGGGTACAGTCATTATGGTGTCTTTAAGCAAAGTAGCGCTAGTCTTATCAGATATACTCTGCTGGTACAGGAAACTTAGTAGATTTGGAGAACTTCTGTTATTTAAATCCTCCCAAATGTCTCCATTTAAATTCTTGGATCCTGCTCTTTCATAATCAGTGCCCTCTTCTGCTCCTGGCCAGGATGAAGTAACTGTTACTAGACTTACCCTCTTTCTTTAAACAATGGTTGCAGTTCCTATTGCTGTGTAACAAACCCACTCAAAACTTAGTGGCTTAAAACAACAGCAATCATTTGTTTCCCTCTCATGGTTTCTGTAGAACAGGAATTTAGGAAGGGTTTGACTGAGCAGTGGTCTGGCATTACTCACGTAGTTGCAATCAGATGGTGCTGGGTCTCGGACACTTGGGGACTGGCTAGGCAACTCTCTTCATCTAATCTCAGGGCCTGTCAGTGGGATTTCTCCACATGAATTAGCTTGGGCTTCTTCACAGCATGATGACTACAGGGAGTAGGACTACTTACCTGGCAGCTCAGGACTCCAAGCGAGGATTGCAAGAGAACCACACAGAGGCTGACTGGCCTGTTATGCTCCAGCTTTGAAAGTCGCATAGTGTCACTTTTACCATAGTCCCAAGCCCACCCAGAGCAATCGCTAAAGAATATAAAATGATATATAACTGAAAGCCAATAGAGAAAATAAATGGGAGACTAAAGCATACTCGGTTAATCCAATCAAATGCCTTTTTTTTTTTTTTTTTTTTTTTTTGGAGACAGAGTCTCTCTCTGTCACCCAGGCTGGAGTGCAGTGGCTTGATCACAGGTCACTGCAACCTCTGCCTCCCACTCTGCCTCCCAGGCTCAAGTGATTCTCCTGCCTCAGCCTCCTGAGTAGCTGGGATTACAGGCATGTGCCACCGCGCCCATATTTTTATACCTTTAGTAGACATGGGGTTTCACTATGGTGGCCAGGCTTGTCTCAAACTCCTGGCCTCAAGTGATCCGCCCACACTGGTCTCCCAAAGTGTTGGGATTACAGGCTTGAGCCACCGTGTGGAGCCCAAATGCCCTAACATTCACATAGAACTAGTGAAACTGGGCCGGGCACAGTGGCTCACACCTGTAATCCCAGCACTCTGACACTCTGAGAGGCCGAGGTGGGCAGATCACTTGTGGTCAGGAGTTCGAGACCAGCCTGGCCAACATGGTGAAACTCCCTCTCTACTAAAAAACACAAAAATTAGCTGGGCATGGTGGTACATGCCTGTAATCCCAGCTACTCGGGAGGCTGAGGCTGGAGAATCGCTTGAACCTGGGAGGTGGAGGTTGCAGTGAGCAGATCATGCCACTGCACTCCAGCCTGGGCGACAGAAGCAAGACTCCATCTCAAAAATAAAAATAAAATAAAAAATAAAAATAAATAAAAAATTAAAGAACTAATAAAACAATTCATTCTACATTCTTTTTTTTTTTTTTTAATTGATCATTCTTGGGTGTTTCTCGCAGAGGGGGATTTGCCAGGGTCATAGGACAATAGCGGAGGGAAGGTCAGCAGATAAACAAGTGAACAAAGGTCTCTGGTTTTCTTAGGCAGAGGACCCTTCGGCCTTCCGCAGTGTTTGTGTCCCTGGGTACTTGAGATTAGGGAGTGGCGATGACTCTTAACGAGCATGCTGCCTTCAAGCTTCTGTTTAACAAAGCACATCTTGCACCGCCCTTAATCCATTTAACCCTGAGTGGACACAGCACATGTTTCAGAGAGCACAGGGTTGGGGGTAAGGTCATAGATCAACAGTATCCCAAGGCAGAAGAATTTTTCTTAGTACAGAACAAAATGAAAAGTCTCCCATGTCTACTTCTTTCCACACAGACACAGCAACCATCCGATTTCTCAATCTTTTCCCCACCTTTCCCCCTTTTCTATTCCACAAAACCGCCATTGTCATCATGGCCCATTCTCAATGAGCTGTTGGGTACACCTCCCAGACGGGGTCGTGGCCGGGCAGAGGGGCTCCTCACTTCCCAGTAGGGGCGGCCGGGCAGAGGCGTCTCTCACCTCCCGGACGGGGTGGCTGGCCGGGCGGGGGCTGACCTCCCCCACCTCCCTCCCGGACGGGGCGGCTGGCTGGGCGGGGGGGCTGACCCCCCCCACCTCCCTCCCGGACGGGGCGGCTGGCCAGGCGGGGGGGCTGACCCCCCCCACCTCCCTCCCGGACGGGGTGGCTGCCGGGCGGGGATGCTCCTCACTTCCCAGACGGGGCGGCTGCTGGGTGGAGGGGCTCCTCACTTCTCAGACGGGGCGGCTGCCGGGCAGAGGGGCTCCTCACTTCTCAGATGGGGCGGCTGCCGGGTGGAGGGTCTCCACACTTCTCAGACGGGGCGGCCGGGCAGAGACGCTCCTCACTTCCTAGATGGGATGGCGGGCGGGCAGAGATGCTCCTCACTTTCCAGACTGGGCAGCCAGGCAGAGACGCTCCTCACTTCCCAGACGGGGTGGCGGCCGGGCAGAGGCTGCAATCTCGGCACTTTGGGAGGCCAAGGCAGGCGGCTGGGAGGTGGAGGTTGTAGCGAGCCAAGATCACGCCACTGCACTCCAGCCTGGGCACCATTGAGCACTGAGTGAATGAGACTCCTTCTGCAATCCCGGCACCTCGGGAGGCCAAGGCTGGCGGATCACTCGCGGTTAGGAGCTGGAGACCAGCCCGGCCAACACAGCGAAACCCCGTCTCCACCAAAAAAATACGAAAACCAGACAGGCGTGGCAGCGCGTGCCTGCAATCGCAGACACTCGGCAGGCTGAGGCAGGAGAATCAGGCAGGGAGGTTGCAGTGAGCCGAGATGGCAGCAGTACAGTCCAGCTTCGGCTCGGCATCAGAGGGAGACCTTGGAAAGAGAGGGAGAGGGAGACGGTGGAAAGAGAGGGAGAGGGAGACCGTGGGGAGACGGAGAGGGAGAGGGAGAGGGAGCCGGAGCCATTCTACATTCTAATTCAGCTATCCTATAGGAGCAGTATCTACCTACCTTTGATTTTGGCTTTTACCTGGTTGGTAGCTACAGGGAAAAATAAATTCTTTTAGATAATCATAGAAATTCCCTGGTTCTCTGACCTGGGGGATTTAAAACACTGAGTGTTGTTTGCTTTCTTTGAGCTGTCTAGTGAACTTGGAAACAGCCAACTTACCTCACAGTTGTTGTATTCCCTCATAATCTATCACTCAATATGCAAAGCCGTGCATTAGGTAACTGTCTTAGTTCTGTTACTACACATGATAACTTAAGTAATTCTTTCATCATGGGATATCATGGACTACCAGTGTTTAACCCTCTTATGATCACTGCAGCCTTTCTGTCTTCAAACCCAACCAGATCAGATACCAATCACACATTTCCATTTGCCCCAGGAGTACATTGCCTGAAATCATTTCTATACCCAATTACTATAATGGTCATTGTTTAATTACAGACCACTACAGTACGCTGTAACTGGCTAAAGCAGAAAGGAATTTATTAGGTGAATTGGCCTCCAGAATTTCTGGGGTGACGTGGGTACCATACCGTCAGTATCGGGCTGTCAAGAGAAATGCCTTCAATCACGCAGTGAGATGATTTCAGCAAAAATTCTGCTGCGGCTACAGTTTGTGGTTGAATACATCTCTTTATAGGTGACTAGAGTTATAGTTAGGTACTTTAATAGCTATTGTATTGATGTTTGAAGAGAGGAATTACATGGATTATATTCTAAAACTTTATGTTTATTTTGACTGGGACTTAAAAGTATTTTTTCTTAGAAACTGTTTTATAAATTCCAGTTTCACTTTCAGATTAGGTCTAAAAGCATACACAACCTGAACTATATCAGAATGCAGAGGAGCCAACATCCAAAGACACTTTTAGAAGTATAGTCTTCTTTTAAAAGAGTTCACAAAAATTAGACTGCTTAAGGAGTATAGATATGCCCAACCTAAAGAAAATCAAATATACAGACTTTCGGATTGCCAACTGATGTATGTTAGGGGCTTTAAAGTCTCATTTTAGCTGCTAAAGGATGGCTTTCCTGGATATGTACATCCATTTTGGCAATGGCTATCCTAGCGTCCTTGGCAGCACCACTGCTGTTTACGTGAAGGCGTGTGTGTGAGGATGCAAAGTAGAGCTACTACTGTGCTTCTTGGTCTATGTTGAAGTTTATCAGAAATGGGATGGTGGACATGGTGGTGGGAGGAAGTTGAGGAGTGGTGGCAACAAGTACACAATTAGCCTGAGTGATGAGGTAGCTCCAAACTGTGGACATATGAGAATAATGCCGAAGTCTGTGCAATGTATTGAGGATGATTTTTAATTTCTAAAGTGAATGGGCTGTCTGGAATCAGGTAGGTCTAGTATGAGCAAGTTTTATCTGTGAAGTAGGATGTAGTTTGATAAAGAGGTAGGTTTTAAGCAGTGCCTATTAAGTTGTATGTAAATTTAGATACAATTTAATAGACATTGCTAAAAACCCCTCCTTTATAAATTCCACAGTGATCCCAGGCTCCCCAACCATACCGTTTTGAAAAAGGAAAAACATGCTTTTCATTGCCTTTGGGTAGAGGTGAATGAAAGGTACTGCTCTAAAAAATGGTCACAGTGGCGACACCTGGAGCAGGTAGTGAGGCCACCTGATATCATTAAGTAAACCTCTCTTCGGTGCCTTTCCTTGAGGACCCCAGAGGGCCAGTGAAGCAGTGTTCCCCTTTTATTCCTTGTTCCTTTCTTTTACTTGCACCTTAGAGACATACCTCTTTTTATTACACTTCACTTTATAGCACCTCACAGATACGGCGCCTTTTACAGATGGAAGGTTTGTGACAACCCTGTGTCAAACAAGTCCGTCAGCACCATTTTTCCAACCACATGTGCTTACTTCATATCTCTGTGTTAGCATTTTGTAGCAATTAAGCTGTGCACATTTTTTTTTAGACAAAATGCTATTGCATACTTAATAGACTACAGTATAGTGTAAAAACAACTTTTTTTTTTGTTTTTTTGAGTCAGAGTTTCACTCTTGTTGTCCAGGCTGGAGTGCAATGACTCAGTCTTGGCTCACTGCAACCTCCACCTCCTGGGTTCAAGCGATTTCTCCTGCCTCAGCCTCCCACCCAAGAAGTTGGGATTACAGGCAGGCACCTGCCACCACGCCCGGCTAATTTTTGTATTTTTAGTAGAGACAGGGTTTCACCATATTGGCCAGGCTGGTCTTGAACTCCTGACCTCAGGCAATCCACCCACCTCAGCTTCCCAAAGTGCTGGGATTCCAGGCGTGAGCCACCACGTCTGGCGAAAAACAACTTTTATGTGTGCTGGAAATCAAAAACTTTGTGACTTGCTTTATTGCAGTATTCACTTTATTGCAGTGGTCTGGGACCAAACCCGCAATATCTCTGAGGTATGCCTGTATTTATTTTGTATCGGTCCTCTTACTCAACCTGTGTCCTTGATAGGTCAAATAAGAAATCTCAAACGTTGAAAATAAAAATTTGGATTGTGTGAGATTAAAGATGTATATGTGCTAAAAAAAAAAATAGCAGTTAATCACTCTTAAGCAATTTCATTATTTCTGTTGTTTCTAGGCAGAAGAAATCCTTAGACAAGAGCTGGAGAAAAAAGAAACGCCTAGTTTATACTGCTTGCTTGGAGATGTCCTCGGAGACCATTCTTGCTATGACAAGGCCTGGGAGTTGTCCCGGTACCGCAGTGCTCGTGCTCAGCGCTCCAAAGCCCTCCTTCATCTTCGGAACAAGGAGTTTCAAGAGTGTGTAGAGTGCTTCGAACGCTCGGTTAAGATTAATCCCATGCAGGTTAGACAACTCATAACCCCCTGCTGCTCTCAGCGCTTGTGCTGTTCTTTGGATTTGATCTTACAGAATGAGTACCCATTTTCTAACCTGATAACTGGTGAGTTTGTTTTTGACAGCTAAGAACTTAGTCTCTAATAGACTTTTTGCTTGTTGCAAACTTGCTTGTTGCAAAAAGTGGATAGGTTTTTTTTAATTCACTTTCTATTACTTTAACTTTCTGTTTCATTTTGTTATTTTTTTCCCTTATCTGTCCTTAACTGACATACAACTATTAAAATTAGGTCCAATTTTGAGCGGATATGTTAGGAAGAAAATGAACAAGAGCCAAAATTGCAGACAGCATAGGACTTTGCAAGTATTTGCTGAAATCAGTAATGAAAGAAAAACCTTTATATAAATAGGATAGCATATAGAATGGATTCTTGATCATTTTAAGAAAAACGTGTATTTATATACACACAAATACATTTAAATGTTTAAAAGTTTTTAAAGGTTTGAAAAAAATAATGCGAAAGGGTCTGGATCTTTAAACTAAGTGACATGATAAATCCATAGGAGTGGACCTAATTTTGAGGGAAAAGAGATTAACCTTATTTTGTACTTAATGATATTCAGTTATCAGAATGTTTTATTATTAGAAATGGTCATTTTTTCTACCAAACTTTATTTATAACTGCCTTCCCATTTCACCAATCAAAGGCACATATAACTGTCAATCATTGCTGTTGAAAAACATGCACACTGATTTGCTGTAATCACCAGTTAAAATACTAACTTATAATTAGTGACTAATGTTCACCAAGCACTTACTATGAGCCAGGTAATTCATTAAGCATTTTGCTAGTATTCGAATCCAGATGGTCTGATTCCAGAGCCTACACTGTCTTTTTTTCTTTAATTGTGGTAAAAAACATAGAAAAATTACCATCTTAACCATTTTTAAAAGTACAGTTCAGTGCCAGGCATGGTGGCTTACATCTATAATCCCAGCACTTTGGGAGGCCAAGGGATTAATTGAGCTCAGGAGTTTGAAACCAGCCTGGGCAACATAGTGAGACCTCATCTCTGAAAAAAATAAATAAATAAAATTAAATGAAAGTACAGTTCAATAGTGTTAGGTACATTCCCATTGTTGGGCAACCAATCTCCAGAACTTTTTCATCCTGTAAAACCAAAACTCTATACTCATTAAACAACTCCCTGTTTCCCCTTCGTTCCCCATCCTGGCACCTGCAACCACCATTTACTTTCTGTCTTATGATTTTAACTGGGTAACTGTCTTATGATTTTTACTAGGTAACTTGTAAAAGTGGAATCATACAATATTTGTCCTTTTGTGACTGACTTATTTCACTTAGCATAATGTCCTGAAGGTTCCTTCATGTTGTAGCATGTGTCAGAACCTCCTGCCTTTTTAAGGCTGAATAATATTCCATTTTATGTACATACTTCCTTTTGTTTACCCATTCATCTGTTGATGGATACTTGGCTTACTTCCACCTCTTGACTATTGTGAGTAGTGCTGCTGTGAACATGGGTGTGCAGAAATTGTCATTTTTGAACTGGATAACTGAGGGAATGCGTTTTACATTGAAAAAAAATCAGAAGTGCATTTTCTTATGCTGGATTGAGCTAATTGCTTACTTTCCGAACTCTGAATGGTGAATATAATTAGAACTTTCCAAATCAGGTAAAAAGCCTGGAGAAGAGAGTAGGACAGGTGTAAGTACAGAATATCAGCAGAAACTAATGGGTGTATTTGACAGCAAGGATGCTTAGAGTATACTAAGGAATTGGTTTTTGTTGACAGTTTGCTCTAAGTCACTGGGGATGATTTTGTCCCCCAGAGGACGTTTGGCAACTCACGTAGTCATTTTTGGTTTTGACAGTGGGGACGTGTGGGGATGTGCTACTGACATCGAGTGGGTGGAGGCCAGGGATGCTGCTAAACATCCCGTAATACACAGCACAGCCCCCACAATAAAGATTATCTGGCCTGTCATGCCACTAGTGCCATGGTTGAGAAACCCTCCTCTAACTTGATTATCACTCTATTTTTTTTGGCGGCGGGGAGGGGTTGGTTTTTGGTTTTTGATAGAAGGGAGAACTCACTCAATATTGTTTTTAAAATTTTACTTTTCTGAAAAACTGTATCATATCCTTGCATATCTTGGAAGCTTCTGCCTAAAGTTTACCCTAGCTGCAGTTGCCTTATGAGTGGGGGAAGTGAGTTCCCTCGCTTAGCCTGCCACAATCGCAGTTAAATCAGTGCCAGGTGCCTCACAGACATGAATTGTTCTCTGCAGCGCACAGTCTGTTCTCAACACATCAGCATTATCCTTTTCCTTCTGCCTCGCTGGCAGCTCCTTCTCAGGCTCCCTTGCTGGTTCCTAGGGGTGCCTTAAAGGCTTAGTCCTTGGACCTTGTCTTTGTCTGCACTTACTTCCTTGATTTCATCTAGTGCTGGAGCTTTAAGTTCCAACTATACACTGACAACTTCCCAGATTTTATTTTCACTCCTGTTTTCTCCCCTGAACTCGACGCCAGTACTTAACTGCTTACGCGATCTCCCCATTCCTCACTCCAACCTAACATTTACAGTATCTGAAGTGTTCTCCCCATCCCTAATCCCTCTTCCTCCCAAGCTTATCCTTATCCTCATCCCTATAAATAGCAACCCCATCCAACCTTGGAGTCATGCTTAATTCCTCTTACCCGTATACCCCACATCTAATCGATCAGCAAGTCCTAGCAGATCTGCCTTCAAAATATGTCCAGAATCAGACTGCTTCTTACCACCTCCTGTCATCCTGGTCCAAATCCCCATTGTCTTGCACCTGATTAATTATGTTACCTCCTTATTGGTCTTCCTGCCTTTCTCCTTGCCCCTCTGCCTATTCTCAAAGGACATCCACATTTATCTTTCAAACTCAGGTCAGTTATGGTAATACCCAGTCTCTTAATGGCTCTCAAGACTTTCCCCAGTATCTAGCTCCCGGCACTTCTTCCTCCTTCCTCCAATTCTCCCCTTTTCTCACCCCACATTGCCCTCCTTGTTCTCTGAATATGCCAGGCACATTCCTGCCTCAGGGTCTTCCTCTTGCTCTTTCTCTGCCTGGAATGTCCTTCTTCCAGATATTTCATTCAAGTCTGCTCGAAGGTCACTTTCTCAGAGGGGCCTTCCATGATCATTCTATTTAAAATCATACCCCTACCTTATACTCCTAATTTTCCTTCCCTGCTTTATTTTTTTCCGTAGCACTTATGTATAGCTTACTTTTTTAAAAAAGTTCTGTTTTGTCTTCACTAGAATGTAAGGCCTATTAAAGTGCCTTGTACTTATCAGATATTCAATAAATATTTGTCAAATGGGTGAATAAATAGTATCTTCAACTACTTTTTTTCAGTCAAATATATACTAATTGTCTGCCCTGCACGTAGCACTGAGCCAAAGAATGAAGACATAGCAGCAGGTCAGCAGATAGTCCCATTTGCACCATGGCAATCTAGTGAAGCAAACACAGACAGAACTAGCTAACAATATGATGCAACAAAGAAAAACCTAGCAATTTATATGTAAAGCACCAGTTATATAGAGGCCAAAGAGAACATTTCTACTTTTGGTAGACAATGAAGAGAGGATGTTGGAGTCGGCTTTGAAAGACAGGTAGGACTAGAATAGGCAAAGGAAGTGCAGTGGTGGGGGCATTCTAGGCAGGTGAAGAGTATGAGCAAAGCTCTAGAAACACAGAGAGAAGTGTGTGTGTGTGTGTGTGTGTGTGTGTGTGTGTGTGTGTGTGTGTGTGTGTTGGGGGAACAGAGGTTTGGTGAAGAGGTTAGTTTTTTAGGGTAGAAGGAAGTAGGGCAGTTATAGTGCGAAACCTAGACTGGAGCCAGGCTGTGAAACGTCTTCAATGTGAGGCTAAACCGTTGGGTTTTTATTTGACAGATAGCCATTAAAGGGTTGATTTCTTTGGAGCTTTGTTTTAAATGAAGGAATGTGGTGTGTAAAGAGGTAATTCAGGAATATTGTTTTGGTAACACTGGCTGTAGGAGATTCTAGATGGAGGCTGAGTTAAGAGACTGTAGCAATAGTTTAGTTTTTTGGGTTTTTTTTTTTGTTTTGTTTTTTGAGATGGAGTCTCGCTCTGTCACCCAGGCTGGAGTGCAGTGGCGCGATCTCAGCTTCTCAGCTCACTGCAATCTCTGCTTCCCAGGTTCAGGCGATTCTCCTGCCTCAGCCTTCCAAGTAGCTGGGATTACAGGCACATGCCACCATGCCCAGCTAATTTTTGTATTTTTAGTAGAAACGGGGTTTCGCCATGTTGGTCAGGCTGGTCTTGAACTCCTGACCTTGTGATCCGCCCGCCTCGGTCTCCCAAAGTGCTGGGATTACAGGCGTGAGCCACCGCGCTCAGCCCAATAGCCTAGTTTTTAGCCATGGCAATTCTCAGTGTGGGAGGGGCAATAGGAAGGAAGGGATGAAGTGAGGGAAGTCACAGGGGAGAACTTGACAGGGCTTGCTGGTCTCATTATATAATTTAGAATTAATTATTTACGTAGACAAAGAAATGACAATTGCTCAAAGCAGAGTCACAGTATAAACAGATGTTATGTGAAAATATTTTGGAGCTTCTCATATGGATCCAATTCAGGCGGGCGGTAAACCATGCCAAAATATGCAGGTATTGAATGCTGTAATTGTACAGAACTACTACAAGATGCAAACTTGAACACTGTAGACTCATTTTAACTGTGAACCAAGTTTGAACTGTCTGGAGGGAGAACGCCTATATGCTATGTTGTCTCCTTTAAGACCTGCAATAAAGGGAAAATAGAAACATGGAATTTAAAAAAATTCTATCCTCTTTTTTAGACATATCCAAAGAATTAGGTTAAATAACAAAATTTAGGCAAACCAAAGTGGTATTTGAATGGCTTCTGCACCTCTTAATAACTTTCTAAAGTCAAATTGGTATAAGAGCAGTTGTATCTGGAAAGGGTTAGGGGGAAAAAGGCTATTGTCCATCTTTTAGATTTAAGCGCATTTTAAAGTGAGAGCTTAAATAAAAACAAAGAACTTCTATAAATTGAGTGAGAGCTCAAGTTTAAAAAATGAGAGCTCCTATACGAAATAGAGGGGTTTGGTCTAATAACAGGGATGAGATGCAAAACTAAATACATTGTCTATGGTGCATTCATTAGAGAACCAAAAGACGTACCACTTATATTTACGCTTTGGAGATTGCTAGCTATTGTTCACTTATACCCACTTGTTTCATTTTTGCAAGTGACTTCTGAAACTACTTAAATTCAACCTTAGATTTCTGAGGTTTGCGGGATAGTGAAAGCTGAAGAAAATGGGAGGGAAATCTGACCAAATCTCCCAGGCACAATTTCCCAGGCAGAGGCTAGAATTAAAATATACATTCTTATTCCTATTCTTAGGTAGTTATTATTCCTGTTAACACTCTACTTTTATGCAAAAATGTAAAAACCAAAGAAATTACTCAGCTATCAAGCCAGTACGTTTAGCACTGAAAAAGAGAAATATTATGTCCTGTCAGTTTTTCCATCTCCCACTTAACACACATACAGTTTTCCTTTACTTTTGTCAGTCTCTTCTACCTTTTTAAAAATTTATTTTCCTTAACCTCCTCCTCAGTCAACCAGTCACTCACCTTTGTGAGATTATATGATACTGTGAACAGTATATGTACAAGCATACCACAGAGATACTGTAGATTCAGTTCCAGGCCACCGCAGTAAAGCAAATATTGTAATAAAGCAAGTCATGCGAATTTTTTGGTTTCCCAGGCACATAAAGGTTGAGTTTATGCTGTAGTCTATCAAGTGTGCAATACTATTATGTCTAAAAAAAAACAAACAAAAATCATAAATACCTTAATTTAAACCTACTTTATTACCAAAAAAAAATGCTAATGATTATCTGAGCCTTCAGTGAGTTATCATCTTTTTGCTGGTGGAAGGTCTTGTCTCAGTGTTAATGGTTGCTGACTGATCAGTGTGATGGTTACTAAAGGCTGGAGTAGCTGTGGCAATTCCTTAAAATAAGGCAACAGTGAAGTTTGCTGCATAGATGGACTCTTCCTTTCATGCCAGATTTCTCTGTAGCATACAATGGTGTTTGATAGCTCTTTAGCCACAGCAGAACTTCTTTCAAAATTGGAGTCAGTCTTCTCTAACCCTGCTGCTACTTTATCAATCAAGTTTATGTAATATTCTAAATCCTTGTCATTTCAACAATGTTTACAACATCTTCACGAGGAACAAATTCCATCTCAAGAAACCACTTTCTTTATTCATGCATAAGAGGCAACTTCTCATTTCTTCAAGTTTTATCATGAGATTATGGCAATTCAACCACATCTTCAGGCTCCCTTCTAATTATAGTTCTGTATTTCTGCCACACGTGTAGTGACTGCCTCCACTGAAATCTCGAACGCTTAAAAGTCATCCATGAAAGTTGGAATCAGCTTCTTCCAAACTCCTATTAATGTTGATGTTTTGACTTCCTCCCATGAATCAGGAATGTTCTTATTGGTGAACATTAGAATGGTGAATCCTTTCCAGAAGATTTTCAATTTGCTTTGCCCAGATCCATCAGAGGAATCACTATGTATGGTGGCTATATACCCTTGTGAAATGTATTTCTCAAATAATAAAACTTGAAAGTCTAGATTACTCCTTGTTCCATGGCTGCGGAGTGGTTGTTGTGTTAGCAAGCATGAAAACATTAATCTCCTTGTACATCTTCATCAGAGCTCTTGTGTGACGAGGTGCTATGTCAATGATCAGTAATATTTTGAAAGGAATCTTTTTTTTTTTTTTTTTAAGGAGTAAGTCTCCACAATGGCCTTGAAATATTCAGTAAACCGTGCTGTAAACAGAAGTATTGTCTTCTGGGCTTCATTGTTCCACTTACAGTCCTCAGGCAGAGTAGGTTTAGCCTAATTCTTTAGGGCTGTGGGATTTTCGGGTGGTGAATGAGCATTGGCTTCAGCCTAAAGTCACCAGGTGTATTAGCCCCTAATAGGAGAGTCAGCCTGTCCTTTGAAGTCAGGCATTGACTTCTCTCTAGCTATGAAAGTCCTAGATGACATCTTCTTCTAAAAGAAGGTTGTTTTGTCTTCCTAGAAAATCTGTTTAGTGCAGCCACCTTCATCAATGGTCTTAGTCAGATCTTCTGGATAACTTGCTGCAGTTTCTCCATCACTACTTGCTGTTTCATTGTGCACTTTTATGTTATGGGGATGGCTTCTTTCCTTAAACCTCATGAACCATCTCTACTAGATTCAAACTTTCTTCTGCAGCTTCTCCACCTTTCTCAGCCTTCACAGAATTGAAGAGAGTTAGGGCCTAGCTCTGAATTAGGCTTTGACTGAAGAGAATGTTATGGCTGGTTTGATCTATCTAGACCACTCAGACTTTCCCCGTATCAGCAATAAGGCCATTTCGCTTTCTTATCACTTGTGTATTCCCTGGAGGAGCACTTTTAATTTCCTTCAAGAGCTTTTCCTTTGCATTCATAACTTGGTTAACAGTTTGGTACAGGAGGCCCAGCTTTCGGCCTGTCTCAGTTTTCGACATGCCTTTCTCACTAAACTTAATCATTTCTAGCTTTCTTTTCATTTGATACATTGTAATTATACATATTTATGGAGTACAATTTTCTGTTTCAATACAGGTATATGTTGTATTATGATCAAATCAGGGTATTTAGCATGATGATCACCTGATACATTTATCATTTCTTTTTGGTAAGGACATTCAGAGGCCTCGCTTCTAGTTCTTCTGTGATCCACAGTCCCTCATCATTTCTAGCTTTTGATTTAAAGTAGGGTATGTGTGACTCTTCCTTTTACTTGAACGCTGAGAGGCACTGTAGGGTTATTAATTGTCTAATTTCAATATTGTTGTGTCTTAGGGAAGCGGGAGGCCTGAGGAGAGGGAGAAGATAGGAGAGTAGCTGGTCAGTGGAGCAGTCAGAACATACACAGCATTTATCAGTTAAGTTCACTGTCCTATATGTGTGCAGTTTGTGGTGCCCCCAAACAATTGCAATAGTAGCATCAAAGATTACTGTTTGCAGATCACCATAACAAATGTAATAATAATGAAAAGATTTGAAATATTGTGAGAGTTACCAAAATGTGACAGAGACACGAAGTAAGCACACAGTGTTGGAAAAATGGCTGATCTTGTGTTATTTGTATTTCCCTACTTCACCTCATATTGCTTTATTATTTATTTATTTATTTTTGCAACAGGGTCTCACTCTGTCACTCAGGCTGGAGTGCAGTGGTGCGATCTCTGCTCACTGGAACCTTCATCTCCCGGGTTCAAGCAATCCTGCTGCGTCAGCCACCTGAGAAGCTGGGACTATAGGCATGCACCACCACGACCGGCTAATTTTTGTATTTTTTGTAGAGACAAAGTTTCATTATGTTACTCAGGCTTGTTTTGAACTCCTGGCCTCAAGCGATCTGCCCCGCTTGACCTTCCAAAGTGTTGGGATTATAGGCGTCAGCCACCATGCCTGGCTTCATACTATTTTAAAGCAAATCCCATACATCAAATCATTTCCTTAAAAACATTTTGAGTATATTTGTCTAAGAAATAGGGAATTTTTTAAAACCGTAATACCATTGCACTTAAAACATCAGTAATAATTTGTAAGAAACTTTTGATTGAGTTTCTGATTTTAATTGAATAAATTTATATCCTTTACTAGAGCAGACTGTAATAGAGGCCTGTAATTTAGCAGCATCTAAATCTGGTGAAACATTACAAAAATCATAAATAGAGACAGCATATTTGATATATTTTGTCTTGTTAAAAATATTTGTTGAAGAAAAGTACCCTAAATGGAAGCCAAAAGATACTAAGTGAATATTTATAAGTTTTTTTTTGTTTTTTTTTTTTTTTTTGAGACAGAGTCTCGCTCTGTCTCCCAGGCCAAGGACTGCGGACTGCAGTGGCGCAATCTCGGCTCACTGCAAGCTCCGCTTCCCAGGTTCACGCCATTCTCCTGCCTCAGCCTCCCGAGTAGCTGGGACTACAGGCGCCCGCCACCGCGCCCGGCTAATTTTTTGTATTTTTAGTAGAGACGGGGTTTCACCTTGTTAGCCAGGATGGTCTCGATCTCCTGACCTCATGATCCACCCGCCTCGGCCTCCCAAAGTGCTGGGATTACAGGCGTGAGCCACCGCGCCCGGCCATTATAAGTTTTAATATTAACAAAGCTAGAATTAAAAATATGTTCTATTTAGCAGAAGTTGCTCTGAGCTTACCAGGTACATCAGTATACTTCAAAATAATATTTTCAATTAAAATTATTGTGTCCCCTAGAAAAGAGTCAATAAAAGAGTCAACAATTTTAAATGTGTAAACAATGAATCTGACAATTAACAATAAAGAACAACTTTGAAGTAGCAGGTAATCTTAGGAAAAAATAAAAAATACTAAGATCATATTGAAAGAATATATTCATTAGTAAAATATCAATGACATGGTATTAGCATAAAATATGACTAAAACACTGATTAAAGCATATGAATGTCTACTCAGAATAATTAATTTTAATTCTGTAATAGATTATGGAAATGTACAAAATTATAATTGTACAGCTTGATTAATTCTCCTTTATTATTTTTTAATGTTCACATAATCAGCATTAAAATTTTTTTACTTTAATGTAGTTTTATTTTTCAATAATTTTGTTTTTGAAAATAATTTTTGAATAGAATCATCTTATAAGTCCCCAGATGGAGTAAAACCAATTTATTGATCAACAGTTTGTTGGTTGATAAATATGTTTATTTAAACCGTGTAATTTAAATTATTTTCTTTAGTGCTCTGGTTCACTTTCAAAAGTGTTGCAGTTTGTACATTACATTATGTGGTTGCCTAACTAAGCATTATCAAGTACTTGTATATCAGATATGGATGTGGTTATGAATTGTGCTATGTCAACCTATCAACAGAGAACAGAGAGTTTCTGCCAGGAAATGATAATGGACAGAACTAGTTTCCAAAGGGCCTTAAATGCCCTGTATCAAGATTACCTAACCCTGTAGATGTGGGAGCCTATTGTGGTTTTGAATTAAAAAGTGATATGACAAAAGTGGTATTATGGGAAGTTTAAATAAGGAATGAATATCATGGGTGAGTTATCAGTGGCTTGAGTGGTAAGCATGGAAAACATAGAATGACTGAAGCCTCATTACAGAGGAAATTTTCTGGGACTTACACATTGGGCTGGCAGTATTGAGGGAGACGTTGGAATCAGAGAGGAGGCCAGTTTTCTCAATTTTCTGATTAAAAAGGAAAATGTCTCTATTGATAGCCATAGGGATTTAGGAGGAAGGGAAAATATCTTTTGCCAGCAAGGTGATGTGGTTTTGGATGTTGAATATGAGGAGATGGTGCTGTATTGTAGCAGAGATTGTTGCTAGTCCATTGGAGATAAAAGCCCTAGTGAAGCCCAACAGTGAGGCCTGAGCATGCAGATGGGGCTTTTCTGTGGAAGTTACTTGAAACCATGAAAGTGAGTTCTTCACAGAAAACTGTGTTGGAAGAGAATAACAGGCAATGTCCTGAGCTTTGGGCATCTCCTGAAGTTGGAAGAAGATAGGATAAATGGCACCAGTGAAACAGGACTCAAAGTACATCAGAGTCTTGGTCAGAGGGATAGAAGGAAACCCCAGCAAGGGGTTCATGGCACCTAAAACAAGAGCAAATGTCAGCGAGTTATGTCACATGTAGTGATAAAGTGCAGAGGGCTATGAAGAGGTCATTGGATTTGGAGCTCACTGATGACATTCAAAAACAGATTCAGGAGAGTAAAGGGTGAGTGATAGATGAAGAAATGGAGATAGAATCTATAGACTGTTCCTTTTAGGAGCACGTCAGAGAGATGAGAGACAAATGTAGAGTGTTGTACTCAGAGGGGCAGAAAAGTCAGGTAAAACATTTCAAGATACTGGAGACCTTTACATGGAGGAAGGCAGAAATGAAAGACTCCTGTGGATAAAGGAGAGATTGAATATTGTAAGGAGAGAGGGGAGATAAATAGGGAATATCATTCTAGGGGAGAGTGGAATGAGGAGAAGAGATGAAGATATTAGCTTTGGAAATAAGGAATAGTATTAAAAATGAGACTGGAAAATGAGAACATTAACATTATAATAGCTATTTCTATTCATTAAGCATCTATATTCTAAGCTCTTATGTAAGTATGAACTCTTTGTAAACCATTGAGGTATTGAGGGGGATACAGGAGAATTGTGTTAAGACACAGACTCCTGCCCTCCAGGGGTTTATATAGGTTAAATGGAGAGAGGAGGCATGAATAGCATTGTGTGTAGCCAAGGAATTGAGTGAATAGGCAACATGCTTTGGGTGCCTGGCAATGCTTTTGGGTGGCCTTGTAAATAAGGATGTGAATGGTCAGAAAAAGCCTGATGGAAGTGAATATTGGTGTGAACTACCAGGAATGGTTGGGATTTGGATAGGTGGAAAAAATTGGGAAAATATGTTTCAAGGAAGGAGACTAGCGGATGTAAAAACCAACCCTGCAGAGAGCAGTTTCTTGGTAACTATCAGTTTTGGTGGTTTATATTTTATTCAGTTATAATAATGAGAATAGCAACTAATGCTGAGTATTTACTCAGTGCCAGGTACTGTTCTAGAAGCATTTTCCATATATTTTTAATTCTCTGCAGTCACTGAGTTACTTATTGTTTTTACCCTACTTTCATAAATGAAGAAATAGAGGGTTAAGTAATTTGTACTAGATTTTACAGTTTATGAGGGATGGGGCTGGGATTTCAACCTGAGCTTTCTGATTCCAGAGCTCTTGCTCTTAACCTCTTCACAGTTTTGCCCTCGAGGATATCATAGTATGCTAGGACGTAATGGCAGATTTGGTTGAGGTCAAGTTATAAAAAGCCCTGAATACCAGTCTGTCAGGTTTGAACTTTTTTCATCCTTTAATGAAGAGCCATCGGGGCTTTCATCAGAAGCAAAGTGAGAATGTAAGATTGATGTTTGGGAACCATCCAGCACATGTTAGGGAGTGACTCTCTTTGAGACCAGGGATTTAACTGAGCCGACCTTTCCAAGGCCATTGCTATACATAAGACCAGACTTCTATGATACAGTACTCTGACATTTTAATCATCTTAGCGGTTTGTACATGCTGCTCTTCCTTGATTTAACTTTTTCTTTCATTTTAGCTTTTGAAAGGATAAAATATTTTTATTTGAAATGGATTTATATCGTTTCTGTTTTGAACTTATGTTATTTGTGGTGGGAAGACTTGAGGATGTTGGAACTCACATTCCAATAGGGAGGATAGGATGAACATATGTGAATAATATGTACGGAAAAAAGACATTCTTTCCTTTTTATTTTTCCCTTCTAATATTGGTAAGCAGTACAGAATGAAAGTCTTAAGGTGTAACTTGCATAACTGCCAAGAAATGTGAGTACTGTGATAACATCTGGGCTGTAGGTGTGACTGATGCATAGTGGGGAGGCCGAAAGCTTTGCTACCATAGACCTGATTCTGAATTCTGGTAATCCCGAGGAAGATAACAAAGGCAAATCTCTTCATCTTTCTGAGCTTTTAAATAATGGAGTTTATAATCTCTACCTGGATTTGCTGCTGAGAAAATTAGAGCCAGTATATGTTAGGTGTCTAACATATTTCCTGGCCCATAGTAAGTTCGCAATAATAGATGTTACGTAGTCGTTCTTTTCTTTTCTGCCTGTTGCACTGTAGAAAAACCATTGTTGCCCCATTATCTGTAGCCTAAAATTAGGGAGATATATCTAACAGGAGAATCTCACATGCAGATGACATATAAACACCTGTGTTACTTTGCATTGTGAATTATTTGAAAAGACTCAGCAAATATAAAGACCAGTGGTAACCAAATCTAGCACAAGAATTAAGAGAAGGGCATTCAGTAATTAATAACCTCTAGTAAAAGAAAAAGTATGTATAAAATTTAGTTGATCCTTTAGTTTAAGGGAAGACACTGAAATAGAAGAAATTATTCCTTTGGAGAGATCAGGAAGCTGGTAGGTTAAGATTTATATTTCCTCATGGAAGGAGAACTTAGAATTTAGTAAATGAGAAACTTGGCTATGAAGGAGTTGGCAGTGCACATGAGGAAAAAAATGAGCATCAAGCATCACTTTAGGAAAAGCTACTATCAGACACCATTGATGTCACTCTTGGATTTCACTTCGGTCATTTCCTGTTTAATGATACCACATTCAACAACTCATCTGTGTTTGGGGTCACAGAAATCAGGCAGGGGTACAGAAAGAGTGGAGAGTGTGGTATGGCTTTAGGATTAGATTATTCTACATTAACCTTTATTATATGTGACAGAAAAATTCAAAACAGTTGATCATATGAGGGAAATTAGCCAAAAGTTTGAATACTGATTATCAATGATGTGGAAACTTTCAAGAGGAAGGGAGTTTGAGTAGTAGGTTCATAAGTGGTACCCATTGCAGATGTGTCTTAAATACCCTTGTAAAAATTAACTTTTTAATTATAAAAGTTATCTATGCCAGTTGTCTAGTGGTGCTTAGTTTTTGCTAGCCCTCAGGGTAGCAAACTTTAATTTTTATTTTAATTATTAAGGTTTAATAAGTATTACAGTCACTGTCTTCAGCACACATATTTCACACTTGGGTTGAGGAACCATTGTGTGGCTTTAAGCCAGTTATTTCCTTTGTAAGCATCATTTTCCTCTAGATCTCTTTTGAACTGATTTCTAAGGTCTCTAATTGAATTGATTCCCTTCCAGTTCTTCAAACCTGCTAATTCTAAATACCGGACGATCCCTGACTTACAATAGTTCCACTTAATAACTTTTTGACTTTATGATGGTGCAAAAATGATACATTTTCAGTAGAAACTATGCTTAGAGTAACCATACATCTATTCTGTTGATAACTTTCAGTATAGTAGTCAATAAATTCCATGAGACACTCCACACTTTTTAAAAAATAAAATCGGCTTTGTGCTACATGATTTTCTCTATCTGTAGTCTAATGTAAGTGTTCTGAGCATGTTTAAGGTATGCTAGGTGAAGCTATTAGGTTCAGCAGATCAAGTGAATTTAATGTATTTTTGACTTAACAATATTTTCAATTTATGATGGATTTATCAGAACATAACCCTATAAGTTGAAGTGCTTCTATATTCCATTCTATTGTCAATGTCCTTATTTTGCCACTAGATGGCAATTGTGTACCTTCGAACCCAGTCCCCTCTGGGTTTTCAGAATCTGGGGCATCTGGAGAACTCAGGAATTTTAGCCTAGTCCACCCCTGCTTATTTCACACTTGGGGAACTGAGACTCATAGGTTAAGTGACATAGCCAGGGTCGTAACAGTTACTCAGAGCCACTTGAATCCCAGTCGTCTTTCTCCTCTATCACACTCTAGGGGACTTTGTGAGGGAAATTCAAAGAAACCATGCTCTCAACCTTTTGAGTTCTTTGTGAATTATTTTTAAAATAATTTAAAGCCATTGGTTAAGTACAGGTATTATCACATTCAAAATAAACAGTTGGCCTGCTTTTGTGTTTCTCTATTGGCTCCCTGAGACAGAAACGCTAGACAGTCAGCTTTGAAAGGTTATTGGCTGCATACAGCCAGCTTGCCTTCACGATTTGCCCTGGAAATAAGCTCTGCAGAAATCTCAACCAGGGCCTCTCTATCAGGTGATTATCTCCCTCCATTCTTGCCCCATCCTGTGGCCACCCATTTTTCTATGTTTTCTTTTGTCCACCTGACTAGCCCAATCAAGAGAGCGTTTGTGGGGGAAGAGATATGCTCCTGGTTCTTAAAGAATTATCTTTTGGGTTTTCCCAGCACATGTTAACTGCCCTGTTTCCCCCTCTCTCTTTATTGGTGACAAGGATGGTATTGCCATAAATCATGGCTTGTGTATAGGCAGAATGGTGTTGTCGGAGGCAGAGAGGACGTGGTCTTTGGAGTCACACTGACTGTGTCGAACCTCTCCTCTGTCTGTGACTGACTCTGACTCTTTGTCGCCTCTCTTAGGAGAGTGAGATTGACCACCTTGCAGGGTGGGTGTGAGGAACGCATGAGTAATGTGTGGAAAGCTCATGGTGTCAGTGCTTGGCACACATAGCAGATGCTCATTAAGAGCTAATTATTTTGGTTGTTATTGTAAAGAGAGGAACAGGAGTAACTATAATATATGAAAGAAGCTCAAGGGAGGATCTCAGCCAAAGGAGCTAGTTTTTTATTGGAGAAAGAAGGGAAGGATGCAAGGTATTCCAGGGCCTATGTCAGTGTTTTAGAGAAATAGTGTAACTGTGTTAATAATGGTAGCCACTAGCCATGTGTGACAATGGACACTTGAAATGTGACTAGTTGAAATTGATCCATGCTGTGTTGAATTCACATCAAATTTCACAAATTTGTGTTGAATTCACATCTTTGAATTCACATCAAAGACTTGGTGTGAAAAAGTGGATATAAAATGTCTCAATAACTTTGTATAGTAATAATATATTGAAGGAATCGCATATTGGATATGTAGAGTTAAATAAAATGTTATTAAAATAAATTTCACCCTTCCTTTTACTTTTTTTTTTTTTTTTGAGACAGAGTCTCATTTTTTAGCCCAGGCCAGAGTGCAGTGGCGTGATTGTGGCTCACTGCAACCTCCACCTCCCGGTTCAAGTGATTCTCCCACCTCAGTCTCCCGAGTAGCTGGGATTACAGACGCATGCCTGCTCATTTCTTTTGTATCTTTAGTAGAGACAGGGTTTTACCATTTTGGCCAGGCTGGTCTTGAACTCCTGACCTCAAGTGATCTGCCCACCTCAGCCTCCCAAAGTGCAGGGATTACAGGCATGGACCACCTTCCTTTGACTTTTTGAAATGTAGAAAATATAATGAGGCTACTAGCATGATACTTTTATGTGATAGCACTGGACGAGAAGATAGAGATTTTTGTACCCAAACATATACAACTATGTTCTGAGGAATCGAGAGAGGTTTTTTTTGAAGCTTCTTTTGATTTTGTTTTTCTTTTATGATGTTCTGTTCTTAAGAGTATGACTATTCTGAACTGAGATGCCAGTCACTATTGGTAATAGCAGTTTAAGTAATAGTTTAAAAAGAAAAAAGTAAAAGAGGCACCAAATATTGTCTGTAGTCCCCCAAATTCTGAAGACCTCAAAAAAGAAAAGCCATTGGATGATTTCAAAGAACACCACTGTGTGCAAAGCTCATTTCCCTTCTTGTTGTCAGTAGATAAAACCTAGCAGTTAACGATCCTAGGATTTTTCCTTCCAATGCAAAGTATTAAAACACTGCAAAAATAACCAAGAGTAAAAGGAAAAGAGAACCATAATACTTAATGTTAAATTAAGTCATCTGTCTGATTTTCATTAAATTTGTTTTGGTTTTAAAGACATTGGTTACAAACCATTCAGTAGTTTTAAAAATTAAAAATAAAAGATAACCTCATCACCAGTCTGTTTTAGAGCTAGAAGGTAATTGCTAATTTTGGACATTTGCAACCCTTGTAAATCTTCTTAGATGGATTTAAAAATGAAGTTTTTATTTAGATTTTGAATTTACATGTGTTTTTGTTTGTTTGTTTGTTTTTGAGACGGAGTCTCGCTCTGTCACCCGGGCTGGAGTGCAGTGGCGCCATCTCAGCTCACTGCAAGCTCCACCTCCTGGGTTCACGCCATTCTCCTGCCTCAGCCTCCCGAGTACCTGGGACTACAGGCGCCCACCACCACGCCCGGCTAATTTTTTTGTATTTTTAGTAGAGATGGGGTTTCACCGTGTTAGCCAGGATGGTCTCGATCTCCTGACCTCGTGATCCACCTGCCTCGGCCTCCCAAAGTGCTGGGATTACAGGTGTGAGCCACTTTGCCCGGCCACACATGTGGTTCTTATAACAACACATGGGAAATAGTATCTGTTCTTTGCTGATGCAGAAAACAAGCAGAGCACATGCATTTTGAGGACCTTGAGGTCAGTTCTCATTGTTCTTGATTTAGTCTCAAAATAAGAATCCCTTATTCCAAGTAAACTTGGTATCATAATTCTTTGTATCTAAGATGCCATCGGTTGTAAGAAGTACCTTTAAGTACCACTTTGTATAGAAAAAAAAATGTTGCCAATAAAACTGATAAGCTATTGGTTTTTCAGATGCATCTCTATTTCAGAAATGTTAAATGGTGGGGAAAAAAGTACACTTTAACATTGATGAAATATAATACACAGATTTTGAAACTTTTTACTTGGTTGGAGTTTAGAGAGCTTGTTTTACATGTTAGCATCAGACTTTAGGTTCTCTCAGAATGTATCATGTTCAGCAAGTGTGGTTTGGTGCATTGAAGCTCTTTTCATTTAATTTTATTAAAAAACAGATGAAAGCAAAGTGGTGAGCTCATTTTTAGGTTGTTGAAAGTTCCATGATTCAAAAAAGTGAACTTCTAACTTTTAGTTTCAACCTAGTACCTCTGCTTCTGCCCCCTCCCAGTAGACATATATCCATCCTCTTTTCAGTCATTACCTGTCCCTCTAACAAAATCTGTTCTCCATAAAGGCTCCTGATAACAGTTATTTATAGCCTCCTGTGAATTCATGGCAAAGCGTTAAATGGCCCAAGTCTGCTTGCTTTCTAAGCTTTATCTCTAATTACTGGCTAAAAATCTTTATCTGCTTAAAGAACTTTCAGGCCTCTGCTAGCCACATGGAACAAGTTTTGTGGGAATGGCTGAAGGAGGAGTGATGTAGAGGCAGCCTCCTACTCTGCCTCTATGGAAGGCTGTGGATAGAGAACAGAGTACCTCATTTTCTTTCCTAACCTAAACTGTCCAAGTAAATCTGACAGCTGGCTCAGTGCCTTTCTGGAAGTCAGTAAGAAAGGAGACTTCGATCTGCTTATAAAGTTGCCTTTGCTGACTGTTGGAAGGAAAACAACTCATAATAGCTGCATTTCTGACTAATTCCATTGAATTTTTGTTAGTTTTTTGTGTTTTTGTTTTTGTTTTGTTTTGTTTGAGATGGAGTCTCACTGTGTTGCCCAGGCTGGAGTGCAGTGGTGCAATCTCAGGTCACTGCAGCCTCCACCTCCTAGGTTCAAGCGATTCTCCTGCCTCAGCTTCCCGAGTAGCTGGGATTACAGGTGCACACCGTCATGTCCGGCTAATTTTTGTATTTTTAGTTGAGACGGGGGCTTCACCATGTTGGTCAGGCTGGTTTTGAACTCCTGACCTCAAGTGATCCGCCCACCTCGGCCTCCCAAAGTGCCGGGATTACAGGTGTGAGCCACCACACCCAGCCGAATTTTTGTTAGTTTTATCTCCCTTTTGACAGAGGCTATTGAATTTTAAGGAAATATTATGATGTACAGATTTTTTTTTGTAATCTGAATAGCTACTTCCTATTTTATCTGTTTTCTAAATCTCAGTGTTTACACATCTAATTGGCTTAGGTCATACTTTACATTTTGAGTAACTATTTGGTAATCCAGATTCTGAACCTCCTTTTTCTAAATTAATTTCAGGCATGCCTAAAGCAGATATATGCTAGGGCAGTTTGGCTCTTGGTTAAGCTGCAGAAGTTCTTGTGGTCTAGTTTGAAGATGAAAACAGAAATTTCTTTTTTTGAGTTTGTAATACATTCATCAGTTGTGAATCTGCTGATACTTTGTATATGGTGGTCCCTCAGAATGCATGGGGGATTGCTTCCAGGCGTCACCGCCCCCAACCCCAATACCAAAATCCATGATGCTCAAGTCCATTGTATAAAATGCTGTAGTATTTTCTTATGACTTATGTACATCCTCCTATATACTTTCAATCATCTCTTGATTACTTGTGGTACCTAACACAGTGCAAATGCTATATAATTTGTATTGTTTAGGGAATAATGACAAGAAAAAAATGTTTGTACATGTTCAGTAGAGATGCAACCATCCAGTTTTTTTTTCTCCAATATTTTCACTCTGCAGCTGATTGAACCCACAGCCAACATGCCCAGTAAGGAGTTTGGTTTACACTAAGTATGGACTTTTTCCGTGAAACATATGCAATAATATTGCACTTTTTCAGTGTTTACATTGAAAATTATATGGAAAAATTTACCTCCATTGCTAAATATTCTACATTTAAACTAAATGTAAGGCAAATATTTATTATATAGCTCTGCATTCTTTCTAGGAGTGTGTTTGTTGATAGCATCTTAATAATTTTCAGATTACATTCTGTAAATGTTTCTGTGTGTTTGAATGACTTTGACTTTTGGTCTTTGCAGCTCGGGGTGTGGTTTTCTCTCGGTTGTGCCTATTTGGCCTTGGAAGACTATCAAGGTTCAGCAAAGGCATTTCAGCGCTGTGTGACTCTAGAACCCGATGTAAGTTTGTTTGATCTTCTGTCCTTACGTGGCTCTTTACTCTCTAAGTTGTTGAAATTGTACTGTATGGTTCAGAACAGCAATTCCTTTTGTGTTGGAGGAAAGTGTACATTTGAGGGAAGGTCGTACCTCAAGGTATAGGATTTATAAATCTGGAAATAAGTTAATATTTCATGGTTTCATTTAGGAAATAATTTTGATAAAACAATTTTCTTGTTAAAAATATACTTCACTGAATGTATAGCAAAGTATCATATATATTTTGTCATTCATTAGTATGTCCTGCCTATGTTAATTGCATTACTAGAAAGTTATTTTAGGGTGGAGTCTTTTTATATTTGATAGTTTTATGAGATAATAATTCACATACCATATAATTCACCTATTTAATATATACAATTCAATGATTTTTAGTATAGTTAGAATTGTGCAACCGTCCACTACAATTAGCTTTAGATCATCTTTATTACCCTAAAGAGAAACCCCTGTACCCATTAGTTGTCACTCCCTATTTCTCTCCAAACATCCTCCCCTTCAGCCCTAGGCAAACACTAATGTGCATTTTGTCTCTATAGATTCACCTATTATGAACATTTCATATAAATGGATTCATACTTTTTGTGGGCTCTTGTGACTGGCTTCTTTCTTAATGTTTTCAAGATTCATGCATGGTTATAGCATGCTTCAGTACTTTGTTCCTTTTTATGACCAAATAATATTCCATTGTGTGGGTATATCACATGTTATTTATCCATTCATGAGTTGGTAGACATTTGGATTGTTTCCACTTTTTGGCTATTATAAATATCACTACTATAAACATTTGTTTATAAGCTTGAGACCAACATATGTTTCCATTTCTCTTGGTTATATACCCAGTAGTAGAGTTGCTGGATCGTATGGTAGCTCTATATTCAGAATTTTGAGGATCTGCCAGACTGTTTTCCAAAGTACCATTTTAGGCCGGGTGTGGTGGCTCACGCCTGTAATCCCAACACTTTGGGAGGCCAAGGCCGGTGGATCACTTGTGGCCAGGAGTTCAAGACCAGCCTGGCCAACATGGTAAAACCCCATGTCTCCTAAAAATATAAAAATTAGCTGGGCGTGATGACGCATGCCGTGGTCCCAGCTACTCAGGAGGCTGAGGCGGGAGAATCACTTGAACCTGGGAGGCGGAGGTCGCAGTGAGCAGAGATTGCGCCACCTTACTCCAGCCTGGGTGACAGAGCAAGATTCTGTCTCAAAAAAAAAACAAACAAATAAAAAACAAAGTACCATTAGTCCCACTAGCAATGTATGAGGGTTCCAGTTTCTCAACATCCTTGACAACACTTGTTACTAGCTGTCTTTTTTATTATATCTGTTCTAGTGGGTGGCATCTCATTGTGGTTCAATTTGCATGTTTTGGATGGCTAATGATGTTGAGCATCTTTTCACATGCTTCTTGGCCATTCGTATATCCTCTTTGGAAATGTCTATTCACATCCTTACCCATTTTTAAAATTGGGTCATGTATCCTTTTATCATTGAGTTGTAAGAGTTCTTTCTATATTCTAGCTACAAGTCCCTTGTCAGACAAATGATTTGCAAATATTTTCTCCCATTCTGTTAAGTTTTTTTTTTTTCTCTCTATTGATTGTGCACTTTAAAGCACAAAAGCCTAATCTTGATGAGGTCCAACTTACCTGTTTTTTCTTTTGTTGCTCATACTTTTGGTACAATATCTAAGAATCCATTGCCAAATCCAAAGTCACAAAGATGTACTCCTATCTTTTCTGCTAGGAGTTTTATAGTTTTAACTCTTTCATTAAGGTCTAGGGACCATTTTAAGTTAATTTTATTTATGATATAAGGAAGGGGTCCAACTTCATTCTTTTACATGTAGATATCCAGTTGTCTCAAAACTTTGTTGAAAAGACTATTCTTTTCCTATTAATAGTCTTGTCACTCTGGTCAAAAATCAGTTTACTGTAAATGTAAGTGGTCAAAAATTAATTGACTGTAATGTAAGGATGTATTTATGGTCCATCAATCACATTTCATTGACTGTATGTCACATTTCATTGACTATAGGTCTGTGCATATTCCACTGTCTTGTTTACAGAAACTTTGTAGTAAGTTTTGAAAATGCTGTGAGTACTCCAACTTTGTTCTTCCTTTACAAGATAGTTTTGGCTATTCAGCATTCCTTGAATTTTCCTATGGGATTTTTAGCTTTGTAAATTTCCCCAAAAGACCTTATATTGAATCTGCAGGTGAATAAGGGGAGTACTGCCATCTTAATAATATTAAGTCTTTTGATCCATGAACATGGAATGTCTTTACATTTTTCTAGGTTTCTTTCATTTCTTTTAATATCTTATAGTTTTCAGAGTGTAAGTTTTACACCTCTTTTGTTAAGTTATTCCAAAGTGTTTTATCCTTTTTCATACTATTATAAATGGAATTATTTTCTTAATTTTATTTTTTATTTTTTTGAGACAGAATCTTGCTCTGTTGCTCAGGCTGAGGTGCAGTGGTGCAATCTCGGCCTACGGCAACCTCCGCCTCCCAGGTTCAAGCAATTCTTCTGCCTCAGCCTCCCGATTAGCTGGGATTACAGGTGTGCAGCACCACGCCTGACAAATTTTTGTATTTTTAGTAGAGATGAGGTTTCTCCATGTTGGCCAGACTAGTCTCAAACTCCTGACCTCAGGTGATCTACCTGCCTCAGCCTCCCAAAGTGATGGGATTACAGATGTGAGCCACTGTGCCAGGTCTAAATTTTATTTTTGGATTGTCTATTGTTAGCATATAGAAACACAGTTGATTTTTATATATTAATTATATCTTGCAACCTTGCTGAGCTCATTTATTACTTCTAGTAGGTGTTTTTTTTTTTTTTGTGGACTCCTTAAAATGTTCTATATAAAAGATCTAAATTTAATGTTTTATTTGAGAAGAAAGAATTGCAATTTGGGGCGTATATGCATGCCAGGTAGTCTTTGAATGTCTGAAGAACAAGGAGAAGGTTAGAAGTTTTATTAAAAGGAGAAATGTTACATATTGCTCTTTGAGAAATTCATTGGCACTTACAGTAAGGGTTTGGGGAGCTGGCAAGCTTCCATTGATGAGGGATGGCAGAGTGCAAAATTAGTCCCAGAGTTTCAGCAAATTATCTCAGAAGCTGCAGATAAAACTGGTTTCAGGTTACGACAAGCAGTTCCAGCAGTCAGGCTGCTTTCATTTGGATATTTTAACAGCTTTAATGTCTCTACTAACATTCCCCCAAACATTCTCTCATTATGTTCATGTTTTCCTTTAAATCTTTGAACATGTTTATAATAACTGCTTTGAAATCCTGTGCTTATTTCAACGTCTCTTTCATTTCTGGTACTGTTTCTTATTAACTGATATTTTTTCCCTTTGGTTATGAAGGAAATTTTCCTGCTTCTTCCCATGTCCGCCATTTTTTAAAAAAATTGTATTCTACACCTCGTGGATGCTGTGCTGTTGTGCTTCTTGGTTTTATTCTGTTCTTTTAAGGAAGATTGAGTTTTATTCTGGCATTCAGTTAAATTATTCCTAAATCAGCTTGTTTTTAAGCTTGTTAAAGTGGGTCTGGAGTTGTCCTTATTTTCTCATAACTCTTTAAAAAAAAAAATCAATGGAGATGGAGCCTTGCTCTCTTGACCAGGCTAGTCTCAAACTCCTGGCCTCAAGTGATCCTCCCATCTTGGCCTCCTAAAGTGCTGGGATTACAGATGTGAACCACTGCACCCAGCCCTCTAATAACCTTTTCTTAAGGTATAACCTCTCTGGGATTGAATTTAATGCCATGGGCAATCAATAAGAACTCTCCAGTTTTGCTAGTTTAGAATTTGAATAACTTCTAGCACAGTGTGACCTCCAAAATCTCCATTCAGCTCACAGCTTTCTGGTAGTTATTCTTTGCCAGACTTCAAAAAGTTACTAATTTTGCCAAGTCTGGAAGTGGAAGTCCACTGCCACTTAATTTTTGAGTCATATGTGTGGGACTTGAGAATGATATATACTATATTAGATGAAAAGTGGAACAAAGAGAAATAGATAATTTATATCATTCTTGTTTGAATCAACATTTGTATAAATTTAACCTGATTAAGCTGATTTAAAAAAACATTCATTTTTGCTTTATTTTTGTCATTGGGTAGAGGAATAGGTAGAGAAATATCTTTGATGGATGAAATACTTAGTAGTAACACTGGAGAACAGATTTTTTCTTAACCCCCCTATCCGGTGAAGAAGGATGACAGTATAATGGCAAAAATTTTTAAGATAGGAAAAAACAGTATACTGCATTGCCTTTTTTGTAATAAATCTATGTACTATATAGAGTATGTTGTATTAGTTATTTTGTAAGTCTAAATTTGAAAATAAAATCTTAACTGAATTGCTAATTGGTACAATAATAGTTACATTGCATAGTTGATTGTTTTAACCTTTTTCTAAATTATAAAAGTTCAGTTTGATTTAATTTTGCCATATACCTTTAAACACACTCTTATTGAAAATTGTGGTTTTAAAGAGCATATATTGGACTAGGAGAGTGTGTTGTACTTTTGGTTTAAGCAATAATTTTACCTAAATGAGAAGAGTTAATTAACTGTGTTCTCTATCATTTCAGAATGCTGAAGCTTGGAACAATTTGTCAACTTCCTATATCCGATTAAAACAAAAGTAAGTACATCAGACAAATATGAAGAAATTTGCTTCCCAAATAAATGAATGAGATTTTCTACAACTGAACATTGTTTCAATGTTTCTCCTTGTTTTACCTTTCTCGCCCATGTATATGAAATAGAATAACTTAAGTAGAAAAACTTAATTCAAACTAAATTAACTTGAATTCTAAATATACAGTTTATTTCTTAAAAACATTTCATATGTAATAAAATAAGAAATGTTACTTGAAATCTTTATTTATTACTGAAGTTTTACATTCTACATTTTATTACATGATAAAAGCAAACATATGTTTAGTTGGTCAACTCAGTTGACAGTTATTTTTATTCATTGCTTGCTTTGTACTAGACATTATTGAGAAATATAAATAAATATGAACCAATGTCTTCAGGGAATGTAGGTTTAAAAAATAAAATACTACGCCATCTTATTTAAAAAATTGATTAGTATATAAGCTATCTGTGGCAAATACCAAATGAGAATATAAAGAGGGCTAAAATAATCATACATGATACTTGTAGCACACTTATTATGTGCCAGCCACTCATTTAGTCTTGTGAGGATCAAAGAAGAGAGAAATCATGTCATCCTGGATCAGAAATGCTTCTGAGAGAATGTTGGACTCAAGCAGAAATTTGAAGGATGGATAGAAGGGACAGAGGGGAGCCTCTTAGGCAAGAGAAATGATGTGACCAAATGCAGAATGACAGGAATGAATGTAGTATTTTAGGAGATAAGAAGCAAAATAGTCCAGCTATGATGTGAAATATACGGTGAGAGATAAGGTTAGAAAGGTAGGTTGAAGTAAAATTGCTGCATCTTCTGATTATTTGACCAATGATTGAGACTGTCCTGTTGAGAATAGGAAGCCAGAGATTTCAGTGTGGTAATCTCATGAAGAAAGAAGCTTTTGGGGAAGATTTATCTGGTGGCAGTATATGAGGCAGACTAGAGGAAACTGCAGGCTGGGAAACCAGTTAGGACACAGCTGTTGTAACAATTCAGGCATGAGATAACTAGAGTGGAAAAAGAAGGGGCAGATGCCAAACTCTTTATAAAGGAGAAAACCAACTAAACGGGCTTATTGACTGGCTATGAAAAGCGAAGGAAAGGGAGGAGACAAGGACTGCTGTTGCCAGAACTCTAATAAATTAAAGGATGGATATATTTTCATTTTTATTTGGCCTTACTTTCAAACTTAATTTAATTTTTCTTGGTGGAATCACAAGATAATTTCTGAAGACATCATTAAATCCATATTACGTAGAGATCATGAAATGCTGCCTCTGCTCTTGGATGACATAAATAAAGTCTATCTGTTCTACCATTCTCTTTAGAAGATCATATTATGTTCTTGATTGCAACTGATAGTGCTAAAACTCTCTGGAGACCTTTTTGGTTTAAAGCAACAGGCTCGGAAGTCCCTGTCATAGTTGTAGAATGATCTCAGTGAGTTTTTCTGGCAACCCGGATAAGTTTGTACATAGTGAAGCTCTTGATACCTTGTCTTCCAGCCCAATCATGTTAGGAATTCTGCTTTCTCTCTTAGGGGTTCTTGCATATTGTTTCTCGACTTTCTTACCTCTTGCAGCTCCACAAATAGGTTTTCATGCAAAGGTGGAGTTGTAAGGTCTGAGATAAATCATTTCTTTATTCTTTCCTGTTTACTCTTTTCTTTCTTTGCTAAGGTTCTAGACAAAGCTAATGGGATTGTTACTTCTGAGGCAATTATTAATGCTTCTCTCAGAAGATCCTATTCATGCCTTAAAACGGCCCATTAAACTTTCTTTTATCCTTTTGTGGTCACAAGATTCTTCACTAAAGTGCTCTCTTTGCTGTTTCAACTGATTCCCCTCGATATCATGTTCCTATCAGTCCCATGTAAAAATGTCTATATTCGGATGTAATTTTAATGGTGCAATATCTCTACTATAGAGGGGTTTTGATAAGTGAATCCTGAAGTGAAGCACCTTACAAAGAAGCTGTATTTACCAAAAAGGAAAAAAGGATTCATGGAACAATTTTGAGGCTAGGAAATTATGATTAGGGGGATCATAAGGGAGGACATATAGGAAAAAGGATAATCCTCATGGTGTGGATTTTTACTTGTTGAGTTCACCCCCAACCCCTGTGGATGGGAGAGCTGGGGAGTCTTGGTCCAAAACTGTTGGAGGCAGTTGTTATTAGATGGAGGTGGTGATGTGGTAGAGTAGAGAAAGGAAAAAAAGAAAAAAATATTCCATGGAACAATTTATGACTGAAATTGAAGACATGTTTCCTTTCTTTTTGAGTTCCCTTGTATTTTTGCAAGAAGGAATCCCTGAGATAGTTCTCTTAGAGTCAATAGATGGTAAATGCTCTTAACCTTTGTATATCTAAAAATGTTTCATTTTGCATTTACTCTTGAGTGGTAAGTTTAGCTGATGATAAAATTTTGGCTGACAGTTATTTTCACTCAGCACTTTAAAAGTAGTATTCTGTTGTCTTCTGTCATCTTACTGCTGATGAAATAAACATCTGTCTTCACTTCTTTGTAGATTTTAGGAATATCTTTCCTAAATTTCACACAATATTTCTAGATGTTCATTTATCTTTACTTATAATGCTCAGTATGTGAAATATACTTTTGATCATAGAATTTATGATCAAAATTTTTTTTGAAATTTGTTCATTTCTGGAAAATTCTCTGCTTTTATCTTTGGATATAAAGAATCCTGCCATGCTCTGCATTTGTTTACTGTAGAATCTCTATCAGATGTATGTTTGAGTCTTACCTCTCATTCTTTCCTCTCTTTCCAGCTTTTATTTTATAATTCGAATTCTGTGTGAACTCCTTACTATTATCTTCCAATGCATCAGTTTCTCCTTGACTATGTGCATTCTAGTTTTTGTTAGCTATTGAGGGTTTTGTTTTTGTTTTTTGTTTTTTGAGACAGAGTCTCGCTCTGTTGCCCAGGCTGGAGTGCAGTGGCGCGATCTCAGCGCACTGCAACCTCCACCTCCCGGGTTCAAGCGACTCTCCTGCCTCAGCCTCCCAAGTAGCTGGGACTACAGGCATGTGCCACTATGTCCAGCTAATTTTTGTATTTTTAGTAGAGACAGGGTTTCATCATGTTGGTCAGGATGGCCTTGATCTTCTGACCTTGTGATCCACCATCCTCAGCCTCCCAAAGTGCTGGGATTAGAGTTGTGAGCCACTGTGCCTGGCCTGTTGTTGTTTTATTGCCTCTTTCAATACTGAAATTTCCAGTTATTTTATTCACATCTCCTTGTTCTTATTTCATTTCTCCCTGTTTTTGTTTCACAATTTTCTGTTCCTTTTCAATGTAAATTATTTCTTTGTCTCTTTCAGTATTCTAAACAAGTTTATTTAAAGGCTTGACAAATTGTTAAACAATTAAGAAAAACTTTTTGTCACTCCTCCCTCTCCCCCTTAAAATCAATTTTTTTTTTTTAACATGGAGTCTTGCTCTGTTGCCCAGGCTGGAGTGCAGGGGTGTGATCTTGGCTCACTGCACCCACGGCTTCCCAGGTTCAAGTGATTCTTGTGTCTCAGCCTCCTGAGTAGCTGGGATTACAGGCACATGCCACCATGCCCAGCTGCTTTTTTTGTTTGTTTGTTTTTGTATTTTTTATTAGAGATGGGGTTAGCCTCTGTTGGCCAGGCTGGTCTCGAACTCCTGACCTCAGGTGATCCACCCACCTCAGCCACTCAAAAAGTGCTGGGATTATAGATGTGAGCCACCATGCCTGGCCACCTTAAAATTTTGTCGTTAGTAAATTTATGTCCTGTTGACTAGTTTTGTTGACTGAAGGTTTTTTTCTCACAGGGTGTAGAATTTTGGTTTGCAGCATTTTGGTTGCAGATTCATGAGGAGTGTGTTGTTTTGTTTTGACCTCCTTGCCTCTGGTCCCTCCACTACTGTCTGCACCTTTTGTCTTACAGGTTTGCAATTGTGCTTGCTTGGCCACTCTGACTCCAGATTTGGAACTTGAGTGTGCCTTCTCCTGAGGTGATACTGGGATTGATACCTAGTTTTAAAATAATGTCCTTGTTACCAGTAAATAGATTAGGAAAGGAATATCTCTGTATGTATGCTACATATGCCATAGGGTCTGTCACTGAATTTTGTAGGGAAGTTTGAGTTGGTTTTGTGTTGTCTGGGTCTCTAATTCTGTTTGTTTATATGAACGAATAAGGACGGACAGTCCACATTAGTATTTTATACATTTAGCTATGCTTTATTCTAATAAAAAAAGAGTTCATTATTGCTCTCTTTAAAATTTGACCTTCAATAGAGTAAAAGCTTTTAGAACTTTACAAGAAGCTCTCAAGTGTAACTATGAACACTGGCAGATTTGGGAAAACTACATCCTCACCAGCACTGACGTTGGGGAATTTTCAGAAGCCATTAAAGCTTATCACCGGCTCTTGGACTTACGTGACAAATACAAAGATGTTCAGGTAGGATATTCCTATTCCGTTATTTCAGTTTGTGTTTGATACTAATCCTTGATCATATGGTATAAATTATTTCCTTGAATATGCACAGGAAAATTTTGTTAAACACATGTAACATATGAAAAGGGTATTTTTTTCTAGTCAAATATTCTTCATGATATATAGAATTCTGCTATTCTAATGTCAAATTTGTTTGTACAGTCATAAACTGAATATTACTCTGACTCAGTTATGAAAATCTGATATGTGGGTTACATATATAGTCACTTTGCAGAAACTAAATAAAACACTGTGTTACTTAGTACTTTGGGTATCTCTGTGTGTTCTCTGACTTTTGGTAGCTGGAATAAATCCTATACTCACTTGTTCATTCATTTAACAAGCATTTACTGCATACCTTCAGATGGTATGAACAATATATAGAGGATGGCTAACATTTTCTTTGCAATGTTTCATGAGATGGTGCTGTGTTTGGTGGAATAAAGTTATCCCTCCAGAAAGTATGGGAGATTCAAAGCTGTTGTGTCATCCAAAATATTAAATAAAAAAGACCATTTTGGTTTAATTGTAGTTGAAGACAATATGCTGTCTTCAGTGTAAAGTGATACTCTGAGATCATGCCACTGCACTCCAGCCTGGGTGACAGAGCAAAACTCTGTCTCTAAATAAATAAATAAATAAATAAACAAAACTGAATGGAATGATAGCCAAGTGAATGGAGAGATAGCAGAGTTTTACATCCCTAGAAAGGGTAGGGGCTCTAGTGAATCTGTTTGCACAGTCCCCTGACAGTCAATAGTTGTCCTGTTAACACTGCTGAAATTTTCCATTGAGATAGTTCTTCCTTTTCTACACTTAGCACCTTGGCAAAGGGCACTGATGAGACTCTGAACAGATCTCAGTATATTGTGACTGCTGAAAATAGTGCATATCTCTTGTTTACTGCAATTGTGATTTTTAAGATCTTTCTTTACTAGGAAAGATTTCTGAAACCTGTTCCTAAAATCTCAAGGAGAATGTAAATTATTTATATTTGTAGTATATTCCATCTTACAGTTGAAAGAAATTCTGTTGTTTTCTTTCATATTAAAAAAAATGTACATGAAACATTCAAATCCAACACTCCTCATTTAGACATCGCTGCTGGCTCAATTCCAGCATTCTTTAGAATCACACACTGTCAGAGCAAAAAGGGACCTTAGAAGTCCTCTAGGGCCAGGCTGAATTAGTTTACACACCAAGTCAGAAAGGAGTGTGAAGCTCCCCTCCTTCCTGATAAGCTAGACAGGGGACTTCTTCAAGCTGTCAGTCTGCTTTTCTATCCTCTTGGTATTACTGCTGATAACTTGGCTGTGTCATCTCTTTCTTAATTGTCTTAGAATTGGCTTCCTTGGTCAGTCTGATCCTGTTAATCTTCTGTCCTGTGCCTCCATTTTCTAACTAATCTGCTTGTCTTTCTGTTGTGAGTGGGATTTCCCCTCTAAATCTATACTTTAACCCCAGTAATCTCCTTCATATCTGCTAAGGATTAGTAACAACTGGCTCACCAGGTTGGCTTTTTGGATCTTGAGAAAATCCTGGTCATCCTTTCATGCTTGGCACCAATAGAAGTTGTTTTATATAAGGTACCCAAATAGGTCTAGGCCTCTCTCATCCAGTAAGAGACAGACTTATTACATGTACACATGAAAGGAAGTGGCTTTTCTATTTGCTCTTATTCTCCTTCGCTTCCCAAGGCACATAGAGCAGGTCAAAGTGGTATGTGGTAAAATAACAATAATTAATATTTACTGAGGGCTTGCCGTGTGTCTGAAACTATCCTAAGCACTTCACATGTATTAGCTCATTTAATTCTCACCTCAGCTGTGGGGGATAGGATTATACTGTCATAAGCTATGTCTAACTCTGGATGGATGGATGGATCTCTCCACCTGCTTGTTTTAAGGAAATTAAAAATATCAGACAAAATAACTATTCAAAGATTGTTTGGAAAAGCTGTTACTTGTACATCATAGAGTTATAAAGTCATCAAGATAATGCCGATTTTAGTTAACTTAGATGAATTAAGTATGGCAAATCTTGCTAACTCGTGTATTCTAAAAGAAAGGCAAGAAAAAGTGAAGCAGAAGTGGTTACAATAGCTGAAAAGGTATTGAAGAATGTTACTTAAATTTCTCTTTTCTTACCACCCCTACCACCCCCAGATTAGGAGTCTCATTCTCTCTCAGGATGAAAAAACATTCTTGCTAATGTTTAGATGATACTTCTGTATTTGAGTATCTGTAAATGTGTAGGGAGAGAGGTGATATTTAGAATTATCTATTGGTAGTAACAGTGGTATTATAGATACCAAAGGATATAATTTTGGTAACAATAACCTGAGTATGTAGATAGTTGATTCTGATAAAACTTTCAGTTGTGATTTGCCCTGTTGGATGCCAAATCAAAATCATTGGAATTTTAAGAACATTTGCTTAGAAATCTTTCAGCCGGCTGGGTGCAGTGGCTTCTACCTGTAATCCCAGCATTTTGGGAGGCCAAGGCGGGAAAATTACTTGAGCCCAGGGGTTTGAGACCAGCCTGCACAACATTGCAAAACCCTTTCTCTACAAAAAAAATACAAAAAAAATTCAGCTGGGCTTGGTAATATGTACCTGTGGCTACTCGGGAGGCTGAGGTGGGAGGGTTCCCTGAGGCTGGAGAGGTTGAAGCTGCAGTGAGCCATGATCACACCACTGTACCCCAGCCTGGATGACAGAGCAAGACCCTGTCTCCAAAAAAAAAAAAAAAAAAAAAAAAAGAGAAGTCTTTCAGGAGCCTTCCCTAAGAAAGAATAAAAGGACCCAAAATGCATAGAGATGCATTTGAGCATTTTTCAGAAAAGAAAAAAAAAATCTAAAAAAAATAGCTATATTTTCCTAGTATGAATTCAGATAACGTGATTTAACTTTTATCTTAAGTAGATTTTTTCAAACATATTTTAGTGGTCATAGTCTTAGCTTTTTACTCCTGTAATCATGGGGAATTTTCAATATAGCAAAATTGTGTTCTGATTCCAATGTAACATGTTCTAATCCTGTACCTGTTTTTTTCTATTTTATGGATGTGGATTATTGCCATTAAATTTTTTTTTTGTGTGTGTGTATAAATTCATGCTTATTTTAATACAGACATAGGGTAAATTAGCCTCAAATTTTTCTGTTTTTTCCTCACTATTTGTAATTGAAGAATGAGTAGATATACTACCTTTATCATTTTCTTTCTTGTTTATCCATTTTATAATTTTATTAATAATATTTTAATTGGCAAACTCTAATTGTATACATCTATGGAGTACCATGTGATGTTTTCATATGTGTATACAATGTGGAATGATTAGATCAGGCTGATTAACATACCCACCACCTTGTTTACCTATCTTTTTATGGTGACATATTTGACATTTTACTGAGGTATTTTGAAATATACATTATCATTGACTGTAGTCACTATGCTGTGCAGAAGATCTCAAACTTAATCCTCTGTCTGAAACTTTGTATCCTTTCCCCAACAATTCCCCATTTCCTCCCCACCCCACCTCCACCCCACCCTGACGCTAGTGACCATCATTCCTTTCTGTATAGTTTGTTATTAGTATTATAGATGTGCTACTGATGTTTGTATGTTGATTTTGTATCTGAATTTATTTCATCAGTTCTAATAGTTTTTACATGGACTCTTTATGGTTTTCGCTAAGATCATATTGTCAGCAAATAGAGACAGTTTTGCTCAGTCCTTACCTATTAGAATATCTCTTATTTCTTTTTTCTTGCCTAATTGCTCTGTCTAGGACTTCCAGTACTATGTTGAAAAACACCTTTGTCCTAATTTTGACTAATGTATAGTTTGGTAAAACCCAGGAATGCTTTTCTATAATAGCACTTATTTGTATTTATTTCTAGATTATACATATTTTTATTCATCTATCATAAAACTGATTTTCATGTTCCTACATAATTAGTTCCTGTTCAGTTTTCCAGTTTTTGACTATTATAAATAATGTCATGAATATCCTTGCAGACGAATCCTCATATATAGCCATACTTCTTTCCCCAAGGTAAATTCTGATGTTGATTTGTTGGGATATTTTTCCTTTTCTTCCTTTTTTGTTTTTCTGGATACCTTGGGCAACATTTTGGGAAAATAATTTAAGTATTGCATTATTGACATTCATTTGTTGTTTATATGTGGAAGAGGAAGGAAAGGGGATTAATATATATTGAGTGCTTACTATGTTTCTGCCACTTAACACAGGTTATCTTTTATTGGGCATACAGTATGTGAGGTGGATAGTAAATACTCCTCATTTTATAGTTGATTAATATGAAACCCAGAGAGCTTATATAACTTGAGCAGTCATTTGGCTAGTAGGAACCAAAGACAGAAATCACAGGTAGGCATGTCTTATTTTTTTCTTTGTCACGCCTTGAAGTCTGTGGGGGAAGATTTATGTCAAAAGCACATTTTCCCATCATATTAATGTGCTTGTGAACTATACCTAACAAAGGTTTTTAAAAATTCAGACATAATGTGCAGATAATAAGCCAGGCATGGTGGGATGTGCCTACAGCCCCAGCTACTTGTGAGGCTACAGCAGGAGGATTGCTTAAGCCCAGGAGTTTGAGGTTTCAGTGAGCTATGATCGTGCCACCACACTCCAGCCTGGGCAACAGAGCAAAACCCCATCTCAAAAAAATATGAAATAAAATAACAAAATAAAAAAATAATTTGCAGATAATTTTAACTACATGTATTCTTATGTAATCACCACCCCAAACAGTTATGGAACATTTTCATTACTACAGAAAGTTCTCTTACATGCATTTCCAGTCAGTTGAAACACCACCTCTTTCCCCCATGAGGCAACTACTTTCTGATTTCCATCTCCACAGTTTAGTTTTGCTTTTTCTTGAATACCATATAGATAGAATCATACAGTATGTATTCTTGCATATTGAGGTTGTCCTTTGTGTGTATTTTTATTTGATGCTTTCTTTGGGGACAGGAGAAGATGGTGTTGATGTGCAGTGGGGCAAGTTGCCAATGAAATTGAAGTTCTGGGACACTTGCTGGCTGTGCATTACCCGAAAGTAAAGAGAAGAGGAGAGAATGGATATATGTTATAAAAATTATAGCTTTGGAAAATAGGTATTCTCTCCATTTAACTGTTGAGGTACCTGAGGCTCAGCAAAGTGAATTAATAAGGTTGATTTCTTATAGCTAGCGAGCAGTAAAGCTAAGGCTTGACATCTGGCGTATTTAACCTAAAGCCCTTTCCACAGTCTAAGAACTGTTTTTTGTTTTGTTTTTTGGTTTTTTTTTGAAGGACTGAAAAAGACAATGCTAAACTGCCTATCTCTCTCTGATAACTGAGGTTTGGGGAAGCCAAGGGTCAGGGTTATCAGACCAGGAAACAGAACAAGTACTTAGAGAGCTCCAAGTGGAGCAGGGAGCTAGCCAAGCAGGGGAGGTGGGAAATTGCTTCATTCTTGGCCTGGAGCCCTCCTGGTAGTTTTTGTAATGGGTTAAGGCAGTCCTATTCCTTCCTGCTTTGAGGACCTCCAGGATTCAAAGGGCCAGTGCCTTGCACTTTAGGCCAAGACTTTGATGAGACTAGCCCAAGGAAGTCAAGGTTAGTGTTGGGAAACGAATAGTTAATACATTTCTCTTTGTGGAGATTCTTCTACATTTATGTTGGAATTGCCGCTCCTCTATGTGAGAGGCCTTCAACTCTCTTCACAGGCCAGTGTTAGTTTCCCAGTCATTCTCTGCTTGTTGCATTCCCTAAGTGTGGTTCCTGATGGAGGTGAGAAATAGGGTTGGGACAGAGAATGAAACATAAGTTCTACTATTACCTAAATGAAATCAAGATGTGGGTAAGGGATTTAAAGGCCATTATATGAACTCAGTGGGATAGTATTGGTTTGGGTGGGATATGAGGGCTATAGAGCTGTTTATACTGACTAAAATGAAATCTGTCACATACAAAGAATCCTTAATAAGATTATCAGCAGATTTCTCATAATAAACTTTGGAGGCCAGCAGGCAGTGGACTGATATATTCAAAGTGCTAAAAGAAAAAAACTGTCAATCAAGAATCCTTTATCTGGCAAAACTGCCTTTCAAAAGTGAGAGAGAAATTAAGGCATTCCCAGATAAACAAAAGTTAAGGAAGTTCATTACCACTAGAACTGCCCTGCATGAAATGCTCAAGGGGGTCCTGCAGGGTGAAAAGAAAGGACACTAGACAATAACTCAACGCTGGATAAAGAAATAAAAATCTCAATAAAGATAAATATAAGAACAATTATAAAAGCTAATATTATTGTAACAATGTTTGTTGTTGTTGTTGTTTGAGATGGAGTCTCGCTCTGTCACCCAGGCTGGAATACAATGGTGCCATCTCGGCTCACTGCAACCTCTCCTTCCTGGGTTCAAGTGATTCTCCTGCCTCAGCCTCCTGAGTAACTGGGATTATAGGTGCCTGCCACCACGCCCGGCTAATTTTTGTATTTTTAGTAGAGACGGGGTTTCACCATGTTGGCCAGGCTGGTCTTGAACTCCTGACCTCAGGTGAGCCATCCACCTCGGCCTCCCAAAGTGCTGGGATTACAGGTGTGAGCCACCATACCCGGCCTGTTACAATGTTTTTTTTAACTGTACTCTTTGTTTTCCATATGATTTAAGAGACTAATACATTAAAAAAACAGTTATTAGTCTAAAAGCTAGTAGTATTGTAACTTTGTTTTGTAGCTCCATATTTTGCTTTCTATGTAATTTAAGAGACTAATGCATTAAATATATTAGTGTATGTTTTGGGGCACACCATTTATGAAGATGTAATTTTGTGACATCAACAACCAAAAGGGGTGAGTATGGCTCTGTTAGACAAGCAGAGATTTTGTATGTTAATGAATTTTATAATAGACATATATAAAACATTCTACCCAACAACAGCATACGTATTCTTCCCAAGTGCACATGGGACATTATCTAGGAGAGACAATATGATAGATCGCAAATTAAGTCTCAGTAGATTCAAAAAGATAGATGTCATAGAACGTATCTTCTCTGACTACCCCAGGATGAAATTACAAATCAATAACAGATGTAAAACTAGAAAATTCACAAAATTATGGAAAGTAAACAACACACTCTTAATCAATGGATCAAAAAAGAAATCACAAGAGAAATTAGAAAATACTTAGAGATGAATGAAAATGAAAATACAGCATACCAAAACTTGTAGGACACAGCGAAAGCATTGCTAAGGAAGAAATTTATAACTCTAAATGCTTACTTTAAAACACAAGAAATATTTCAAGTCAATAACTTAACTTTACAACTTAAAGAGCAAACTAAACCCAAGGCTAGCAGAAGGAAGAAAATAAGAATAAAGATTAGAATAGAGATAAATGAAATAGAAAGTAGAAAAATAATAAAGAAAAATCAATGAAACTAAAAATTAGGTCTTTGAAAAGATTAATAAAATGGACAAACCTTTAGATAGATGGACTAAGGAAAAAAAGAGAAGATTCAGATTACTGAAATCAGAAATGAAAATGGGGGACATTACTACTGATTCTACAGAAATAAAAAGATTATAAGAGAATATTGTGAACAAGTATATGTCAACAAAGTAGATAACCTAGATGAAATAGATAAATTCCTAGAAACACAAAACCTACCAAGACTAAATCATAAAGAAACAAGAAATCTGAATAGATGTATAACTAGTAAGTAGATAGAATCAGGAATCAAAAATCTCCCAACAAAGAAAAGCCGTGGACCTGATGGATTCACTGGTAAATTGTATCAAACATTTAAAGAAGTCACAACAATCTTTCTTAAACTTTTCCAAAAAATTGAGGAGGAAGGAACACCTCTTGGCTCATGCTATGAGGCCAGCATTACCCTGATACCAAAGCCAGACAAAGACATTACAAGAAAAAAAAAAAAAACAAACAAAACACAGACCAAAATCTCTTATGAATATTGATGCAAAAACCCTTAACAAAATACTAGCAAATTGATTCACTAGCATATTAAAAGGATTATACACCATAACCAAGTGGGCTCTATTCCTGGAATTTGAGGATGGTTTAACATATGAAATAGATCAATATAATATACTACATTAACAGAATGAGGGGAAAAAAAAATCTCACCTGATTATCTCAATTAATGTTGAAAAAGCATTTGAAAAAATTCAGCACACATTCCTGATTTAAAAAGCACTGAACAAAGTAGGAATGGAAGGAAGCAGCCTCGACATAATAAAAGCCAGGTATGAAAAACCCACAGCAAACATCATACTTAATGGTGAAAGACTGAAAGCTTCTTTTCTTATTTATTTATTTATTTATTTATTTATTTATTTATTTATTGACAAAGTGTTGCTCTGTTGCCCAGGCTGGAGTGCAGTGGCATGATCTCTGCTCACTGCAACTTCCACCTCCCAGGCTCAAGTAATTCTCCTGTGTTAGCCTCCCAAGTAGCTGGGACTACAGGCACATGTCACCATGCCCGGCTAATTTTTGTATTATTATTATTATTATTATTATTATTATTTTAGTAGAGATGGGGTTTCACTGTGTTGGCCAGGCTGGTCTTGAGCTTCTGACCTTAGGTGATCCACCCACCTTGACCTTCCAAACTGCTGGGATTATAGGTGTGAGCCACTGCTCCCAGCCTGAAAGCTTCTTTTCTAAGATCAGAAACAATTCAAGGATGCTTGCTTTCACTTCTGTTCATCACAGCACTGAAAGTTCAAGGCAGAGCAATTATACAAGAAAAAGAAGTAAAAGACATCCAAATTGGTAAGAAATAAAATTATCTGTTTGCAGATGATGTGATCTTGTATGTAGAAAATGCTAAAGAGTCCACGAAAAAGCTGTTAGAACTAATAAATGAATTCAGCATAGTAGCAGGATGCAAAGTCAGCACACAAAAATCAGCTGCATTTCTGTACACTAACAGTGAACAATCCCAAAAGGAAGTTATGAAAACAATTCCATTTACAATAGCATAAAAAATACTTTGGAATTAAGTTAACTAAGGAAGTAAAAATCTTGGACCACAAAAACTAGAAAACATGATGAAAGAGATTAAAGAAGATACAAATAAATGGAAACACATCTCATGTTCATGGATTGAAAAACTTAACATTGTTAAGTTGTCAGTACTACCCAAAGTGATGTCTGGAATTCAGCGCAGAGACTGCAGTGAAAAAATAAAGAGGATACTCAAATTACTGAAATCAGAAATGAAAATGGGGACATTACTACTGATTCTACAGAAATAAAAAGATTATAAGAGAATATTGTGAACAAGTGTATGCCAACAAAGTGGATAACCTAGATGAAACAGACAAATTCCTAGAAACTCAAAGCCTACCAAGACTAAATCATGAAGAAATAGGAAATCTGAATGGATTGGTTTTTCTCAGAAATAGAAAAACCTATCCTAAAATTCAAATGGAATCTCAAGAGACCCTGGATGGCCCAAACAACTTTTAAAAAGAACAACAAAGCTAGGGGACTCATGCTTCCTGATTTCAAAACTTACCACAAAACTGTAGTAGTCAAAACAGTGTGGAACTGGCATAAAGACAGACATACAGACCAATAGAATTGAACTAAAAGCTCAGAAATCTGTGTATATGGTCAAAGGATTTTTTTTTCTTTTTTTAAGAGACAGTGTCTCGGCTGGGCACGGTGGCTCATGCCTGTAATCCCAGCACTTTGGGAGGATGAGGTGGGCAGATCACCTGAGGTCAGGACTTCGAGACCAGCCTGGCCAACATGGTGAAACCCCATCTCTACAAAAAAATACAAAAATTAGCTGGGCATGGTGGTGCACGCCTGTAGTCCCAGCTATTGAGGAGGCTGAGGCAGGAGAATCGCTTGAACCTGGGAGGCAGAGGTTGCAGTGAGCCGAGATTGTGCCACTGCATTCCATCCTGGGAGACAGAGTGAAACTCTGTCTCAAAAAAAAAAAAAAAAAAGAGACAGTGTCTCACACTGTCGAACAGGCTGGAGTGCAGTGGCATGATCATAGCTTACTGCCACTGCAGCTTTGAACTCCGGGGCTCAAGCAGCCCTCCTGCCTCAGCTTCCTAAGTAACTAGGACCACAGGAGCATGCCACCACATCTAACAATTTTTTTTTTCCTGTGGAGACAGCGTTTTGCTATGTTGCCAAGGTTGATCTCCATCCCCTGGGCTCAAGCAGCCTGCCCGCCTCTGCTTCCCAAAGTGCTGAAATTACAAGCGTGAGCTTCTGTGCCTGACTCAAATGATTTTTGACAAGGGTGCCAAGACTATTCAATGGGGAAATTTCAACAAATTGTCCTGGGAAAACTGCATATCCACATGCAAAAGAATAAAGTTGGACCCTTACCTAACACTGTATACACATGCTAACTCAAAATGAATCAAATACTTAAATTTAATAGCTACAACTGTAAAACTCTTAAAAGTAAACATAGGGCAAGAACTTTATAACGGTAGATTTGGCAATGATTTCTTGGATATGACACCAAAAGCACAGGCAATAAAAAGAAAAAACAGACAAATTGGACTTTGTGAAAATTTAAAAATTTTGTGCACCAAAAACAGTATCAACGGAGTAAAAAGCCAACTCACAGAATGGAAGAAAATATTTGCAAGTAATATATCTGATAAGGGAATAATATCCAGAATATATAGAGGACTTCTAAAATTCAATGACAACAAAACCCCCCAAACAGCCCAATTAAAAAATGTGCAAAGGAGTTGAATAGACATTTCTCCAGAGAAGATAAACAAATGAACAATAAGCACATGAAAAGATGTGCAGCACCACTAATCATTAAGGAAATGCAAATCAAATGAGATACCACCTTACACCCACTAGGATGGCTACTAGAAAAAAAATTAAAAAAAAAAAAATAGAAAATAGGCCAGGCGCGGTGGCTCACACCTGTAATCCCAGCACTTTGGGAGGCCAAGGCGGGCAGATCATGAGGTCAGGAGATTGAGACCATCCTGGCTAACACAGTAAAACCCCATCTCTACTAAAAATACAAAAAAATGAATGGTGGCGGGCGCCTGTAGTCCCAGCTATTTGGGAGACTGAGGCAGGAGAATGGAGTGGACCCAGGAGGTGGAGCTTGCAGTGAGCCAAGATGGCGCCACTGCACTCCAGCCTGGGCGACAGAGCGCGACTCCATCTCAAAAAAAAGAAAGAAAGAAAATGGCTGGGCGCGGTGGCTCACGCCTGTAATCCCAGAACTTTGGGAGGCCGAGGCGGGCGGATCACGAGGTCAGGAGATCGAGACCATCCTGGCTAACACGGTGAAGCCCTGTCTCTACTAAAAATACAACAAAAATTAGCCAGGCGTGGTGGTGGGCGCCTGTGGTCCTAGCTACTCGGGAGGCTGAGGCAGGAGAATGGCATGAACCCGGGAGGTGGAGCTTACCGTGAGCCAAGATTGCACCACTGCACTCCAGCCTGGGCAACAGAGCGAGACTCCAGCTCAAAAAAAAAAATAATAATAATAATAATAATAATAAGTGTTGACAAGGACATGGAGAAATTGGAATCCTTGTGCGCTGTTGGTGGGAATGTAAAACAGTACAGCTGCTGTGGAAAACAGTATGGTAGTTCCTTTAAAAATCGAAAATGGAATTACCATATGGTCCAGCACTTTTACTTCTGGGTATATACCCCAAAGAATTTAAAGCAGGATCTCAAAGAGAAATGTGTATACTTACATTCATAGCAGCATTATTCACATAGCTAAAACCTGGAAGCAACCCAAATTTCCATCTATGGATGAATGGATACACAAAATGTGGTATGTACATACAATGGAATATTAGTCTTAAAAAGGAAGGAAATTGTGACACATGCTACAAAATGGATGAACCTGGAGGAGGTTTATGTTAAGTGAAGTAAACCAGTCACAAAAAAACAAATACTGTATGATTCCACTTACATGAAGTACTTAGAGTAGTCAAAATCATAGACACAGAAAGTAGAATGGTCGTTGGGGCTGAAGAGAGGAGGAATGAAGAGTTATGGTTTAATGGGGTAGAGTTTCAGTTTTACAAGGTGAAAATAGTTCTGGAGATGGATGCTGGTGATGGTTGTACAACATTATGAATGTATTTAATACTGATGAATTGTACATTTAAAAATGGTTAAGATTCTAAATTGTATGTTATGTGTATTTTACTAAAATGAGAAAGAGTAGAGGAAAAAAATCTCTCTAAGCATCCAGGTCTAAAAAGTTTACCAGATTAGTTTATGATACACCAAACAAACTCCAGATAGACTAAATCTATGCTAAATATTTTTAATCTCATAGAAAAATTAGGAATAGGGAATGGAAGTAGATACTGATAAAAGTGCTTGAACTCTGAAGCAGTAAAAGAGAGCTGGAATGAATTTTTATGATCACATTTAAAAATATGTGACAAGATATTTGTAACAAATAAGAAAGATAAAAAGCTAATAATATCCTTATTATATAAAGAGTTAACATCTGCTGCAGGAATGAAATGGAACAGAATAGAGAATTCAGAAACAGATTCAAGTAGGAATGAGAATTTAATACGTAATAATGATGGCATTTTAAATCTGTGGGATAAAAATAGGATATTTAATATGTATTGAAATAGCTAGCCAAATGTTTAGGACCAAAAGCTTGAAACCAAAATAAATTCAGTTAAATAAAATATTTAAATTGGAATTTCTTGAGAAGCAGGATGTGTTGTAGGGAAGAGCACGTACTCTGGAGTTAGGCAGCCCATTTCTGCCAGTCACTGGCTGCGTCGCCTTGGGCAGGTTACTTAACCACTTTGTGCCTCAGTTTCATGAAATAGGGATGATAGCGATACCTGCCTAGTAGGATTCTTGTGAGGATTAAATAAGTTAATAGACTATTAAGAGGAGTAAATGAGTTAATATATGTAAAGGGCGGGGAACAGTACCTGGCAGATACATACAAGTGCTGTTTTTTGTTTTTGTGTTTTTTGAGACGGAGTCTCGCCCTGTCACCCAGGCTGGAGTGCAATGGCATGATCTCAGCTCACTGCAACCTCCGCCTCCCAGGTTCAAGTGATTCTCCTGCCTCAGCCTCTTGAGTAGCTGGCCAGGCATGCCACCATGCCTGGCTAATTTTTTCTATTTTTAGTAGAGATGGGGTTTCACCATGTTGGCCAGGCTGGTCTCAAACTCCTGACCCCATGATCTGCCCGCCTTGGCCTCCCAAAGTGCTGGGATTACAGGCGTGAGCCACTGCACCTGATCCTTTATTTTTATTTTATTTTTATCATTATTTTTTTGAGACAGAGTCTCGCTCTGTCGCCCAGGCTGGAGTGCAGTGGCACAATCTCGGCTCTCTGCAACCTTCGCCACCTGGGTTCAAGCAATTCTCCTGCCTCAGCCTCCCAGGTAGCCAGGATTACAGGCATGCGCCACTATGCCCAGCTAATTTTTGTATTTTTTTAGTAGAAATGGGGTTTCACCGTGTTGGCCAGGATGATCTCAAACTCCTGACCTCAAGTGATCCACCTGCCTCGGCCTCCCAAAGTGCTGGGATTACAGACGTGAGCCACCGTGCCTGGTCACAAGTACTGTTTAAATGTAGCTCCTCTCATCATCATTGTCATCATTGAAAATGTGACACCATAGAAACACTAAAAGAAAGTATGGCAAATATTTTTATTCGCTTGGTGATGAAAAAAACATTTTTTACCATGACAAAAAGCCATACTTCTAAGGAAAAGATCAAGAGATTTGATATTTAAAACTTACTCACGTGCAAAAATAAGGACTTCTGGCCAGTGAGTGGGGTACTGTAGGTCACTAGCCATAGTAAGGGTAGGCTGTGACAGTGACATTCATATGTTTATTGCTTTCTGAACTAAAACCAGAAAATGATTTCCAGAAGCCAGGAGAGTGCCCTCGGAAGAGTTTTTCTCAGTGTTTTAACTGTCTTAGTCTTTCTGCTTAAAAATGCAATGTTAGTTTTCTAGGGCTACAATAACAAATTACCACAAACTTGCTGCCTTAAAGCAAAAGAAGTTTGTTCTCCCCACTGAGTTCTAGAGACCAGAAGTCAAGTTCGAAATCAAGGTGTTGACTTGGCCATGTTCCTCTGCAGATGCTAGGGAAGAGTCTTTCTGCACCTTTTCCAGCTTCTTGTGGCTCCTGGCGTTCCTCGGCTGTGGCACCCTAACTCCAATCACTGCCTCCATTTTCATCTCCTCTCTTCTGTGTGTTCCCTTCTTCTGAGGAAGAAGTCATTGGAATTAGGCCAACCCTAGTCCAGAATGACACCTCATCTTAACTAGTTACATTGCAAAGACCCTATTTCAGGTCAGATTCTGAGGTTCTGGGTGCACGTGAATTTTGGGGGAATGTTATTCAGCGCACCACAGCTTTTGTGCTCTGTTTCAGGAAGAAAACAGTTGTAGCAGTAGCATTGAGAACAGCGGTGTTCATGAAGAGGGGAGTAGATCCAATACCTCACTGGGAGCTGTTAGTGGTAGCAGAGGTGACAGGCACAGAGTTACACCAAGGGAAGACCAGAAAGACCTCAACCACTCCTATGAAAGTCTTGCCTTTAGTGAACACCACCAGAGATTTGAACATCTGGAAGTGACGAAAGAGCTGATGAGACTAGGAAGGGAGTTGATGGAAAACTAATAAAACTTTTCAAAAGAGACAAAAACTTAGTCATATACAATATTGGGAGATAAGACTGGAATCCCAGGTCATGTGGGACAAATTAGGATTTGTGAGAAGTTTCTGTTATTAGTCTTCAGCAGATTATGACATTCCCTGACATACCCTGAAAGAATTTGTGTATATGGATATATGCATATTCTAGAAAGCGGATGGAAAACTCTCATTAGATCCGCAAGGGTGTCCAGAACCCCAAGGAAAAAAAAAACAGAGATTAAAGAATTATCTTTGGAGTAGACTGTTAGATTTAGTTTCCAGATGAAAAGGCAAGTGGGCCTTTGCTTATAAACATCATGGATTAAAATTTACCTTTATAACTTGTTACAGTACAAAGGGGAAAATATCACTAAATGCATTTATTTAGTTTTTTAAAGTTACCAATTTTTTTAACTTTTTAAAAGTTACCTAGTTTTTAAAAGTTTTTAAGTTACCTAGTTTTTAAAAGTTACCAATGTTTTAAACTGTGTATAAATAATTTTTAAAACTTCCTTTTCTCCTATTATCACCCCCATTTCTCTGGTGCTCTTTTTGTAGTCAATCCGTCAAGACAGGAGTCTCTCCACATTATTTCTGCTTCCTCTCCTCATCCTCTTTGGAACTTACACCATTGCAGTTTTATCTCCCCTAGTCCACTTAGAGTGCTGTTGTCAAGTTCCGACTTGCCACATCCAGTGGACAGTTGCTGGTCCTCAGGTTTCCAGCAATATTAAACACCATTGCTTTCTCCTTTCTTCTCCGTTGGCTTCCAGAATTCCACACTTCTTATCACACCAGCTGCTGCATCCTAATCTTCTTTGCAGACTCATCCTCATCTTCCCTTCTCTGTGAGAACAACCTCAAGTTCAGTCCTCAATTATTTTTCTTCCCCATATATATTGCTACCCAAGGGGGCTCATCTATTCCCTTGGTTTTCTTCTCACCCTCCTGAGAATACATATTATAAAAACAAGTTACAAGATTTTCTGCACATGACCCTTTAACTCTTTTTCACATAGTCTATTCAATTTGTTTATTTTATCATGGTTGTACTTTTGGATGTCTTAATTTTTTTCCTGTTGGCTCGTATTTCCCTGGGGTATTGTCTGTTCAACTGGTAATATGTACTTGATGGGAGGGGCTAAAGCCCAGGACCTAACGTGTGACCTTCCTGGTGAGGCTGGGCCACAGGGGGAGCTCACCCATTGGATACACTTTGCCACTGCCACCTCCCACCATCACCAAGTGGCCTGGTTCCTCAGGAAACCTCCCTTACCTTCACTAGACATTGCTCTTTTCCAATGCCCATCTTCCTGAGTAGTTATCTAACCTCAGTGAGTGGAGGGCAAAGTAGAAGGGCACTCTTAGGCGCCGGCCAGGCTGCCCAAGCCCTTGCTGTCTGCTCTCCACCCTAGCCTGGTCTTCTGCCTTGATGTGCACATATGGTCCCTGCCTTGCACTGGGCTGGCACTGCTGTTTCAGTCTCTCCATGCTGATGGTAAATGTCATGGATAGTAGGATGTGGAAGAAAAAGGGACAGATAAACACTTTTCTCAGCCCATCTGTGAACCTTAGCACCTAGCACTTTTCCACCTGAGCTGTGTTCTCCACCATATTAGGATCCAACCCACTTCTGTCTCCCCAGGGTTTCTCACATGTTTTACTGTACTTTTTCAGATCATTAACTTTCTCTTTTTTCAAGCAAGGTTGATGTTGTGCAAGGTTAGGATTCAGAAGGAGTTGGCAACTTGTGTTCCTTTATAATGAAGATTAACAATAAAACTTCACGTTGGGGAAAAATGAGCTCAGTACAAAATAAGAAAAAAATGTAGGCCGGGCACGGTGGCTCATGCCTGTAATCCCAGCACTTTGGGAGGCTAAGATTGGTGGATCACCTGAGGTCAGGAATGACCAGCCTGGCCAACATGGCGAAAACCCATCTCTACTAAAAATACAAAGAATTAGCCAGGTGTGGTGGCATGCATCTGTAGTCCCAGCTACTCGGGAGGCTGAGGCATGAGAATCGCTTGAACTCTGGCATTGGAGGTTGCAGTGAGCCGAGATTGTGCCACTGCACTCCAGCCTGGGCGACAGAGCGAGACTCCATCTCAATTAAAAAAAAAAAAAAGAAAAAAATGCAAATTTCTTAGAAAGGAAATATATTTAGTCAATAAACATTTGGAAATGTTTAAGGAAATGGAAAAGTTTAACTTAACTAATAATGAAAGAAACATAGTTCAGAATAATAGCTGTATATACCTTTTGTAGAATAAAATATCAAAGATTAAAAAATTTTATATACTCAGTGCTGGTAATATGCAATTAAATGACATTTTCATACACAGTACTATTCATTGGCACCTAATTTGATTTAGCTCTTTTAGAGAATACCTCATTTATCTCGAGTCTTAAAATATTTATTCTCTTAACTCCATAATTCCATTCCTGGAATTCTAACCTAAGGAAAGGTTCAGTAATAAAAAAGTCTTTAGGCACAAAGATATGCACTAAAGTGTTTTATTTATACTACTACTGATAATGGTGGCAGCACATGGAAACAGCCTAGTGATCTAAGCGCAGGGGAATTGCTAAATAGATTATGGTCTATCAGTCCAGTGGAATATCTTGAATCTATCAAAATACTATACTTAAAGGGTATGTGGAAAACATGAAAAAAATTCTATAGCCTAATGTTACAGTGAAAAAGGAAGATAAAACAGTTTACATAATATTATATTATAAAACTTACACATAATAAAAAGATTAGAAAGAAATTTACTCTGTTAGTAATGTTTGTGATTGGCCGATGGACCCAATAAGCATAATGTTACAGTGAAAAAGGAGATAAAACAGTTTATATAGTATTATAATATAAAACTTACATATAATAAAAAGATTAGAAAGAAATTTATTCTAATGTTAGTAGTGTTTGTGATTGGCCGATGAACCCAATAAGAATTTTCTTTTTTAAATTTTGTATTAGCTCTGACATGGGGGAAATTCTAATTTTAAAAAAAAATTACAAAAACAAAACCCATTCTGGTTCTGGTTGATTCGAGATTTAGCAAAGAAATGATAAAAGTTACTAGCATACATATTTCATAAAAGAGAAACCTTTCCAATGTAAAAGAACTTAATAGAAAGGAAGAAAGAGGAGAGGGGAGCTGTGCTTTGTAAATTGATGTAGCAAATGCTTGATAACAGGATCCAGGACTCAGACTGAATTCAGATTCAAGCCTGAAGCCTGCTTTCCCTCGGTATGACCTGGGAGAGGTTCTTCAGCTCCTCTGTGCTCCAGTTTGTTCATCTGCACAATGCACATAAAAATAGCATCATCCTCATAGGGTTGCTGGGTGGGTTACATGTGCTCACAGAGCATGTGGCACATAGGAAGGGCTATATATGTAAGAGGTGTTATCTGCCTCATTGTTTTCATCTCCTCATCCTTATCTAAGCTCAGGAGTCACAGGTCACTGGTGATCAGAATCCAGCTTCATGACTCACTTGCTGTGTAACCATGAGAAAGTTTGTTTTACCTCTTTAAGCCTCAGGTTTTTTATTTGTAAAGTAGGGGTAATAAAGTACCTGCTTCCTAGGGTTATTGTGAGAATTTAATGAAATCGGGTAGGTCACGTGCTTAGCACAGGGTTTGGCACAAAGCGAGTGCTCACAGCAGAAGTAGTAGGGAGGTATCAAGAGCTGACACCATGGTGGTGAATTCTGTTTGAGTTCTGTTTTGAACCATGAGGAAACATGGAAGTAAGCTAACAGGCAGGGCAGTACAGTGAGTGAGCCAGCAATGTGGTGTTACTGTCCACTTCCAACAGAGTAAGGTAGTTGAGGATCAATGATAATTGTAATAGTTTATATGTTTATATTGCTTCACACTTTTCAAACCTCTTACCTGTATATTGGCCCCTTTGATGGAACAGTTCTGTAATGTAGTGGACAGAAAGCCTGTGCTCATTACTGCTATTTACCAGGCTCCTAGTCCCTTCCCCATGTTCATGACCTACTTCAGCAACTATGTATCCTCCTCTCCATTCTAGATCTAGCTGATCTTGATACTTGGTGTTTAGGTAGATAATATCTCCAGTACTTTGGACATAACAGAGGCCTTAGTCTTTATTTCAGTGACAACCCATCCCTGTGGCTATATCTTGGGTCCTGTTTCCCCAAGAGTCATTCCACCTCTAAAATCTTAAACTTCAATTTTCTACTCTTGAGCCACTTATTACATATGTAGTAATTTATAGTTTTGACTTGTTGCTGATAGGTTAATTACTTATAACAATTTACATGTAACAGTGGGTAAAAACATTCACCTATTTAAATTTTTTTTCACTTTTGATGAGGCAAAGGGGTATAGTGCTGGTAAATTTGTAGACTACCCAAGAGGAAATTGTACTCATGGGTGATTCATTTAATCAAAGAAATACTATCGTAACACTCTTTACTCCTTTTAATCTCAAATATCTATTTTCTAAAGAAAGGTTATATATATGTTACATTAAAAGTTACTGCTTTTGCAGTCAGTCTGGATAACCAGAATTTGAATTTTCTGACTTAGTGGGAATAAAAATGATAATATTAGCCAGTAAGTTATACAATTACTGTAATGGTTTTTAAAAATAATTGCTATCAGAGGCTGAGGCGGGCAGATCACGAGGTCAGGAGATCGAGACCATCCTGGCTAACACGGTGAAACCCCATCTCTACTAAAAATACAGAAAAAATTAGCCGGGCATGGTGGCACGCGCCTGTAGTCCCAGCTACTCGGGAGGCTGAGGCAGGAGAATCGCTTGAACCAAGAGGCAGAGGTTGCAGTGAGCCAAGATCGCGCCACTGCACTCCAGCTTGACCGACAGCGAGACTTTGTCTCAAAGAAAAAAAAAAAGTTGATATCACTCTAGAACCACTTTTTAAGATTGAATATTAGCTTCATTTATTAATGTACTTAAATAACACTACATATTTTTACTTCACTTTATGAGGTTTTCTTAAGTACAGGGAATAATTTTAAATTAATTTTTATTGAAATGTAGTGTACATACAGAAAAGTATGCAAATCATAAGTAAACATAAGAATTTTTTCTTCGTGAAAACACCTGTGTAACCAGGTGAGTCAGAGCATTACCAGCACTCCCCATATTCCCCAAACCCTCCCTTCCTTCTTTTAGTCACCACTACCCCCAAATACCCTCAAGGTAATCACCACTATGGGACATTAAAGGCAAGTCTAATAAATGAATATTCATGTGTGTCATCATTTTTTTCTTCTTCTTTGCCAATCTTTAGATGTATTTATGTCTGCTTTTTCTCTGTTTTTAAATGTATATTAAAATAACAGATATATAGTTTTACAAGCCAAATAATAGTAAAAGGCTCATTACAAAGTATACCAATTTCCTTCTTTACCCCTCCTTACTCTTCAAAATCCTTCTCCCAAAAAAGGAGAAACCCTTTAGCGTCTCTTCTGCTACTTGCACATTTCCATATTTCATATTAATAGTTACTATATTGCTGTTATTTTTTAATTAAACAAAATGAGGCATTATTTGTTGACTTCTTCTTATCTTTTTATAATAAATGAGAACTGTCATACCGGCACTTCCACTACTTCTCTTTCTCATCATCCTAATATATCTATTTTAACAATTTTGGTTAAACAAATACACTAAATGCCTATGCAAAGGATATTGAAAATTAGTATTATAGGATACTATGATTATGGGGGGTTTCTCTTCATTTTTTGTGATGTTAATAATCGTCTTGGTTTTTATGTTTTTTCTTTCTTTTTAAGCCTCTTGTCTGAAATCATGATCTCTCCTGCCTTCCTTGTTCTGGCTTTGGTTCTGGATTATGGTCACTCACCCTTAATGATTGCCAAATCCAGGTGAATCTTCCATTCCTGATCCTTTGTAGATCGACTTTCCTTGTAACTTTCTCCTTCCTTGGTTTCCATGACATCACTTTCTTACCTTTCTGGCCACTCCTTTTCAGTTCGATGAGTGAGTTCTCTACTTGCCCTCTTTTTTTTTTTTTTTTTTTTTGGAGACAGAGTTTCGCTCTTGTTATCCAGGATGGCATGCAGTGGCGCAATCTCAGCTCACTGCAACCTCCCCTCCTGGGTTCAAGTGATTCTCCTGCCTCAGCCTCCCAAATAGCTGGGATTACAGGTACCCACCACCACACCCTGCTAATTTTTTTGTATTTTTAGTAGAGACAGGGTTTCACCATGTTGGCCAGGCTGGTCTTGAATTCCCGACCTCATGTGATCCGCCTACCTCTGCCTCCCAGAGTGCTGGGATTACAGGCGTGAGCCACTACGCCCAACCTACTTGCCCTCTTCTTAAATGTTGTGTTCTTTAAGATTCTATCCTCAGCCTTATTCTTGCCCAACACAGTCTCTTTAGGCAATATCTGCCATGACCCTCAATGACTCTCGTTATCTATTCCTCCAATGTGGAACTCTTTTCTAAGCTCCAGGCCCAGCTATTTCACTGGCCATTGAACATGCAGATGGGGAGCGTGAAACAAATTGGTTATTGCCTCCCTCCTCTCTCTTCTGGTGGTATCTGCATATGAACTGGGCAGAGGCATTCAGTATCTGCCCTACCTACAGTTCTATCCCCTGTCTACCCCCCACAACAGACAGAAGCTTCACCTCCTTGCCCTTCTGCAGTTCCCTTCATGCCCCTGCAAACACACACACATACACAGAGGAGGCACAAATGCACTTTACCAACTTTTTCCCTCCTTAATGCCAGGACTACAGCTCTTCATTTTTATTGGCAAGAACACCAAAAGCTGTCTCTCCCCACATCGTCTCCCCAGTAGGCTAAAGTGAAGGGATAGGATGTTGAGCCAACTGTGGGATTCCAGAAGAAGCAAAGCATCACTCATTAGTGTGTTTCATTTGTACATGTTAGTAACTATTTTAATAGACCATCTTTTTCAAAACATGTTAATACCTGACATGCTTATAGAATGATCACTTGAAACAAGCAGTACACATTCAGACTGTTTCTTCTGCATTGTTACTTTCAGATTTAAAACACCAGTGGGATTGTAATATGAATTTCATTACTTTAAGAGTCAAAGGTACACATGTGGGATTGTAATGTGAATTTACAGACAGAGATGATGTACCTTGTCAAAACAAGAAAAAAGCACAACTGAATTTTCTGTCTTCTTTTATGACTGTATATAATTAAGACCATGAATCTGAGTTCACATTCCTAAAAGTATCCATGTTCCAGAGGAGCCCCTACTCCTCAGCCACATCTCATGCACGGATCAGAATGTTCTAGGAGGAGACAGCAAGATCTCACACTGGTTGCATTTCTCTCAGCTACGCTTTCTGAAAGAGTTGTATTCATTCAGTCTTTCAGGCACAATTATTTATTGAGTCAGTGCAATTGCAATATGCCAGGCACTATATTAAACACTGGTGATACAGAATGATAAAATGCCATCCTCTCCCTGCAGTTCACGGTAAAATTAAAGATGTGGGCAGCTGTCTCTTGGAGCCTTGCTTCTCGAAGTGTGCCCTGCAGACCGTCAACATCAGCATCACCTGGGAGCTTGTTGGAAATGCAGAATCTTGGTCCAAGATGGATCAGCATTTTTATCCAGGATTCTGCATTTCTAACAAGCTCTGATGCCAGTGCTGTCGGTCCATGGACTGCACTGACTAGCATGGTGTTACAGTACTTTCCTCAAGCTGGTTCTTTTGCTGTCCCACCATCAAAGGAGTGGAAGATTGCGGTTGTGTTTTCTGTGCCTTCAGATACACAGCCTAATGTAGATATGACAGATGTGCCTTTTTATAATATAACCTGGTGCAGACTGCAGTTTAATCCATCTGTCAGCATTCAAAGCATCTGGGATAGAATGTGTAAAGGCTGACTGATGATAATAAGATAGCCAAGAAGTTAGGCCGGGCGCAGTGGCTCATGCCTGTAATCCCAGCACTTTGGGAGGCCAAGGCGGGTGGGTCACGAGGTCAGGAGTTCAAGACCAGCCTGGCCAACATAGTGAAACCCCATCTCTACTAAAAATACAAAAATTAGCCAGGCATGGTGGCGCTCACCTGTAGTCCCAGCTACTTGGGAGGCTGAGGCAGGAGAATCACTTGAGCCCGGGAGGCGGAAGTTGTGGTGCTGAGATCATACCACTGCACTCCAGCCTGGGCAACAGAGTAAGACTCTGTCTCAAAAAAAAAAAAAAAATGGTGAGCCAACCTGAGGTAGTTGGAAAGAGAAGAGATACTTGCTAGATACTTCGCATGCCTAATGCAAATGCATTAACGGTTCATCATTTAGTAATTAGGAGGGGCTAGGACCTCTTTAAGCGGAGTTAGAAGGTTATTATAGCAGCCCAGATGGAAGTTAATGAGGCCTGAACTTAGGTAGGAGAAGCTGTATTTAGGATTGTTTTCAACAACGTTGTTTTCAATGTTGTCCTAAATAGGACATTAGGAATGTTGAAAACATTGGGAAGGTTGAAAATCAAACAAATCAACATTAGGAATGTTGAAAATCAAATTAGTAGTTGTGGCAGAAGTGGGAGATAATCTAGGTTGATGCTCAGGTTATTGGCTTTGGGAACTGTGTGGATAGGCTCACCTAGAGATTACAGGAAGAAGATCAATTTGAGATCTATGTTTCACTTTGGATAGATGGAGAGGGATATTGGTGTAACCTGTCTGGTAGGTATTGAGGTGCACAGTCCTGGAGCTCCAGAGGGGAATCTGGCTGGAGCTGCATAGACACTAGTGAAGCCAACTCAGCAATATATATGAAGCTATAGGTGTGGATCCAATCATTCAGAGAGAATGTTCCAGGTGAGAAGAGCCAAGCACCAAACATGGGGCCCTTTGAATGAAAGAAGAACCCTCTCTGGAAGCTTTTGAAGGGACATCAGAGAGGTAGTCACCATGAGATCCTAGAGAGTGCTTTAGGATTGAATTTTATTTTGCTTTTCAAAAGCTTAAAGGTGATACTCTTAACAAGTTTCATAAGGTTTTTCATTGTCATTGTCTTTGATGATGGTGAGATAGCTCTTTGTTTTTGTTATTGTTTGTTGGTTTCTAACTTACCAGTTTGTTCTGTGCATTTTTAAGGTCCTTAAAATTCTAGTCAGGGCAGTGATTGATGGGATGACTGATCGAAGTGGAGATGTTGCAACTGGCCTCAAAGGAAAGCTGCAGGAGTTATTTGGCAGAGTGACTTCAAGAGTGACAAATGATGGAGAAATCTGGAGGCTGTATGCCCACGTATATGGAAATGGGCAGAGTGAAAAGCCTGATGAAAATGAAAAGGCAAGTCCTTCATTCCTCCTGAGTCCTTGCCTTTCGTTTGAACATGTTGTAGTAGATCTACTTTTTTGATGGGTGGAGGAAGAGTTTAACAATCTGAAAGATAAGATTAGTATGCTTAAGTTCAGTTCTGATTCAGTCTTTAACCTACGTACTTTGAATTGTGGGCTGGTTAAAACTTGTAACATTCATCTTTTTATTTACCATGAAGTTTTCTTACATAGTTGTTCCCTGTTTCCTGCAAAAGGGCCTCTTGAAATGGCCACCCCTACTAAATCTGCAGCAGAGTTGGCTTTTGTTATTTACTCCATACCCCTTTCTGCAGGCACCTTGCTAAAGACTACAGTAGATGGGTACAAGGAGAGAAGGAGTATTTAGATCTGAGATGGGGATTAGGAAAAGAAAAGAGAAAAATGAACAAGATAAAGATCTTGGAAGAGAACTTTTAAGTCAAAACATAATACTTTTACAAAGGTTGCCCTGCCCTTTCTCACAAGTGCGATAGAACACCAGTTCCACTCAAGTTATGCCTTTAGCCTCTTATCTTAGAACTTAAAGGAGCCTGCAGAGTTTCCAAAGTTGGAATAATTGTTTTATGTTTCTTTTCAAAACACCCACAACAAATCAAATGTACTCCTTGCGTGGGTTTGGAATTAGCCACGGCACAGCTAATCTGTGGGATTCTTAGCCATTCTCTCCTCCCTCAATCCACACAGCTGGCTTCCACCGTGGCCTTGTCAGCCCAGAGAACGTGTATCACCTGCACACATGCACACCCTACTTTCATGTCCTTCCATTTCTCCTTGAATTATGGACTTTCTTGCATATATGGAATTAAGAGTACCCAGAATTCTCTGACCTGTGACTTCTCCCTCAAGGATTTGAAAGAGGGTGCATTAAACATCTGTGAGATTACATATATCTACCAGCAGTTTCATTGTTTTAACCAAGTTCATGCCTCATTCTCTAAACAGGTTTTTTAAACTGATGGCTACAAATGCTGAGAAAATCTGTATATTTACAGATTTCCAAACCTGGCCTTTATATCTTTCTGGTTACAGGGAAGTGTCTCAATCCAGGTACATCCATTTGATTTCTTGCCACGGCTTGTTGCCGTTGGGTGTGCATTTCCACCCCTTCTTTGGTGAGAGTAATAGACGCTGTGCTGTACAACACAGATGCTGCTTTTTCACATTGGAATTAGTTCCATATGACTTCCAGGAAACAGAGTTTGAAATGTGAATTCTACTTGTTATTCTGAATGTTGTTCTTTCTCCTTCCTCAGGCATTCCAGTGCCTCTCAAAGGCATACAAGTGTGACACCCAGTCCAATTGTTGGGAGAAAGATATTACATCATTTAAGGAAGTTGTTCAAAGAGCCTTAGGACTTGCACATGGTATTTGATGTAACATTTGATATCCATGGAATGTTTTGACTTATTTTCTACTGACAGAAAAGAGTGTTGGTCAAAAGTAAAGTTCCATTATAAATAGTATCAAATTATTTCATTATATTGACATTGTTGTATTTAATTCAGCAAACATTCATAGACCACCTACTATGTAATAGGCATTTTGAAATAAGAAGAAGAAACAGGATAGAGGCTTATATTCTGTTGGAGTAAGTAACAGAAATTGGAAACTTTTTTAGAGATGTGAAACATCTTTACAACTTTGTATAACCTTCATTCCACACTGAGTTTCACTGTATTGATTACATAGCATTAAGGAAATCTGTTAATTTTAACTTGACTCACACATAGATCTCTGGGGTACATAGCAGTATGCAGAGCTGTAGCATATACAAAAGAAATATAAAATAAAAGCCTTATCTTTGGGAAATGGTAGAGGATATTGTTTGAGGAAAGGTTTAACCTTACATATAAAATTATATGCCTGTTGGGTAAATATAGTCCAAATAAGCATTGCTTTTAGTTATTAATTTTTAAAAATGCCAGTTAAATTTGGTAATGCATTTTTATATTTATATTTGAATATGGGTGTGTGATGCAGTTCCAATAAAATAATGATGCCCCCAATGTTAAGAACTGAATCACAAAGACCTTACACCAATCCTAAAGTTCTCCTTCTACTTCCCTGCCTAACTAACTTCCTTGCTGCCACTAATAATTACAACAAATAGGGAGCAAACAAGGAAGAATGCAAAGGGCAGAGCTTTAAGATCAGGGAGACCTAAGCTCCAGGACCAGCTCTATCACATGCTTGCTAGTTGACCTTGGGTAAATAATTTAACTTCTCTGAGCCTTACTTTCCTCATCAGTAAAATGGGATAATACCTACCCATGAAGAATAAATGAAAACATTCAAACACTTAGCAGTATTTCACACATGGTTTAGATATTAATACCCTACCCTCTCACCACCACCCTCTTCCTTCCAAAGTAGAGGACTTGAGCTATAGATGATAAGGGACTCAAAACTAAAAAAACAAAAATTAAGAACAAGGATAAAGTTTGGCTTGCTTATAAAGAAGTCACAGAACATTCAGAAAATTTAGAAATTAGCTTGGTAGTTGATAATTCTACTTTTGACCTTTGATATCTTTGACCTAAAGGATATAAATATCTAATTTCCTGGGTCACCAAGCACTTGGCAGAGAAGGTAGAAGTGCTGAGCTCTATATAGCTGAAAGTCAATGTAGAAAAGTTGGGGGTAATTGCTAATAGAGCCGTAGAAGGATGTTTTGGGGGTGGTTAGAATTCATGTGGCTTCTACTGACCTCATGATGGGTGGGCTCAGTTGGGATCCAGTCCTTATGCTTTTGGTCTTTGTGGATATTGTATGATATTTGGGGAAACCCACACTGATGTATTAGGTACATAATTAGCAGGATGGGATTTACTTTGAAAAATTTATCTTATCTACTTCAACTTGCCAACTCTAAGCATTTCTATGAACTGCTCGTCTGTAACAGTCAAAGCCACGCTATTTTCTGAACTCACCAAGTAATGGTATTAAACCTGTCAAAGAGAGATATGCAGGTTAAAGAGATACTCTAGGAAAAATCTTTATTTTGCATCTTAAAGTTGGGTTTAAACTGTTATTGGCATTATTTTCTTCATCAGGGCAATACTTGGAGAAAAACAAGTGTCCATTCTTTTAAGTTCTCCTCTGACATCATTGAATTATGTGTTCATGCTCCTACAACATTTTAAGCGTATTTGAGTGGATGCCCAGCTTTCGTTTCTGATGATATTTTAGATTTACAAAGATAAATCTTAATCATTTCCTTGTTACTTTTGTACCTTAGTGCAGAAAGAATAAGCTGGATTTCTCTGTGTATGAGTCTCTTCAAAACATTGTTCCTCCACCCCACCCAATTATAAAAAGGAAATACAATCAAGCATCCCATAGCAACATTTTGGTCACCAGTGGACCCACATATATGACAGTGGCCCCATAATATTGTAAAACCATATTTTTACTGTACCTTCCCAATGTTTAGATAGACAAATACTTACCATTGTGTTCTGATTGCCTGCAGTGTTCAGTACAGTCACATGCTGTACAGGGTTGTAGCCTAGGAGTAGTAGGCTATATACCATGTAGCTAGGTGCATAGTAGGCTATACCATCTAGGTTTGTGTAAGTACACCCTATGATGTTCTCACAACAACAAAATTGCCTCACCACACATTTCTTACACCGTATCCCCATCATTAAGTGATGCATGACTGAATAACATTTTTAAAAATCTCCACATGGTTTACTCCTTGGGTTGCTATCATTAAGGTAGCCATGCACTTCAGAAAGCTTGATAAGATATTGCGACCTTGACATAGTATTTGAGGCCTCCCTATAACAATGTCATCATTGTGTGCTCATTTGTATTGTCTGGAAGGTATACATTTATAGTTTCTGCTATTTGATTTTCTGGGAAAGGGTGGGCTAAAGTGTTTCAGCTCTTTGCCATCCAGGAGTTTTTAAAATAAGAGTTAATGCATTTTAACTGCAGTTTACATAGAGGAGGCACTGCTGCTTCAGATTTTTTTTTTTTTTTTTTTTTTTTTTTTTTTGAGACGGAGTCTTGCTCTGTCGCCCAGGCTGGAGTGCAGTGGCGCGATCTCGGCTCACTGCAAGCTTCGCCTCCCAGGTTCACGCCATTCTCCTGCCTCAGCCTCCCAAGCCAGCTGGGACTACAGGCGCCCACCACCACGCCCGGCTAATTTTTTGTATTTTTAATAGAGACAGGGTTTCACCGTGTTAGCCAGAATGGTCTCAATCTCCTTACCTTGTGATCCGCCCGCCTCAGCCTCCCAAAGTGCTGGCAGATTTTCTGATGATTTGAAACAGCAAGTTATTTCTCTCCCTCTAGCTGTCTGTCTCTATCTCAGTCTATAATGCCTTTTGGAAATGGGATTGAGTAGGAAAACTAATAGAGTATATCTGTCTTTTTGCTTTACTTTTGTTTTTGTCAGAATGAAAATAAGGGATTAAAAAAGAAATACAGCAGTTTCTGATCTAAACTGCTGGGTACTAAACAGCTCAAATACCGCTGCCATGGTGGTTACAACTTTCCTCTACTAAGAGAAACAGATTAATAATCCCCGCTATCTCTGGGCTAACTCTGCCTTTTGAAAATGGGCTTAACATTGCTAATTATTATGCATCCTCTCACCCTTTAATGAGAAATGTCAAAGTCTAATTATTATTCCTCATTATTACTCTAAGATAGGAATGTCAAACCTAGTTCTTGCTGGCCTTGGAAGATATTAATTAATGACAGAACTCTGTTTTGCCAGGCACAGGCAGCCTCTACCGATTGATTAGTCTTTGCGTGCAAAAAGAAATCTATTGGGCTGGGTATGGTGTCTCATGCCTGTAATTGGGAGGCTGAGGTGGGTGGATCACTTGAGCCCAGGAGTTCAATATCAGCCTGAGCAACATAGTGAGACCCCATCTCTACCAAAAAATTAAAAAATTAAAACATTAGCTGGTTGTGGTGACATGCACCTGTGGTCCCAGCTACTTGAGAGGCTGAGGTAGGAGAATCACTTGAATCCTGCAGGTTGAGGCTGCAGTGAGCCATGATTGTGTCACTGCACTCCAGCCTCGGTGACAGAGCGAGACCTTGTCTCAAAAAAAAAAAAAAATTGATTTTCTATCCTTGGTCTACAATCTAGAGTATAAAGTAGACTTTAATCCTTGCGCTGTTTAGTGTCATTTTAAAGGAGTATCTGATTATTGGTCTGTTTGAATTTAGTGAGCATAATTTAGGGAACAAAACCAAGAACAAGCCAGTGGGGAAATATTGGGCATTATGTTTGTACAAAGCTCTTCACTCGTTCTCATAAAGCATTAATAGCCAGGCCTTCTACCAGGAAGAACGATGCCTTCTTCGTAGTTTCAGGTTTTGGGAAAATGAGTTCCCCAGAATGCTGGGAGCAGAGTTGTGATTCACTCTTGCCCATTCCCTGCTGATGCCAAGCCTTGCTCAGGAACTTAAGAACCTGGTTGTGGTCGCGTTCTCTACATGAAGACACATGGGTTGCTGTCAGTGCTTCCTGAATGGTGCTTCAAACCCTGATTATGAAAATGCAGTAAGAATTGAGCTGTACAGATCTGGCATGTCACTTCCTTGGGCTTGTGTCATCAGCAGTTGTGAAGTCCCCATTGGGGACTTGGTAGCATGGAAAGCCACACAAAGATGTGCTGCATCTGTTTTTGTCTGTGTGGGTACTTTGTTTTCAATAATATTTTGTCTCCTTGCCTAATTTTATTTGTCTATGCACATGTGTGCGTGTGTGTGCTCGAATGCATGCGTGTATATGTGTTTAGGGTCTCTTCCCAGTGATCCGTAACTCACCAAAAATCACCTGTTTTTCCCAAAATTCCCTGGAGCAGTAAATTACCATTCTTAAAGAAGGATAGAGAAAGGCCAGGTGCAATGGCTGACACCTGTAATCTCAGTGCTTTGGGAGGCTGCAGCAGGAGACTAGCTTGAGGCCAGTAGTTCAAGGCTGTATGCCACACCTCCAGACTGAGCGACAGGGTGAGACCCTGTATCTTAAAAAAAAAAAAGAAGAAGAAGAAGAAGAAGGATAAAGGGAAAAGCTATGTACATAATTATTATTCTTTTTCAACAATAAAAACTTTCCAGGTAGAAGTGTTTCTAAAGTATGTTACTATAAAAATTCTAATTAAATAATTGGCTTTTGTACCTGTGAATTATTATTAACACTTTTTAATGGATGTTTCTCTCCATACTTATCTTCCAGTGGCCATAAAATGCAGTAAAAACAAATCCAGTTCCCAAGAAGCTGTACAAATGCTTTCTTCTGTTCGACTCAATTTACGGGGCTTGTTATCTAAAGCAAAGGTGAGAGTGACATGTGAATTAATTGGAATTGTCATATAGAAAAAGGTCATTAGTATCAGCTTATTGCTGTTAAATCTTCTTTTACATCAGTGATAATTTTAGGCGCATGTTTTATTTAATATAGCAGCCCCCTCATGGTTGGTTGTGTTGTGAGGATACTATTGGCCTAATGGATAGACCACTCTAAATGTGTATGACTTAAGAGTCTTTGAAATTGTCTGGGTGCAGTGGCTCATGCCTGTAATCCCAGCACTTTGGGAGGCCAAGGCAGGCAGATCATTTGAGGTTGGGAGTTTGAGACCAGCCTGGCCAACATGGTGAAACCCCATCTCTACTAAAAAATACAGAAATTAGCTGGGCATGGTTGCGGGTGTCTGTAATCCCAGCCACTCAGGAGGCTGAGGCAGGAGAATCTCTTGAACCCGGGAGGCAGAGGTTGCAGTGAGCCGAAATTGCACCACTGCACTTCAGCCTGGGTGACAGAGTGAGATACCATGTCCCAAAAAAAAAAAAAGTCTTTGAAACTAATGTTTACAATTCAGCCCTTAATGCTTTCCTTAAATTAAAATAAAACAATGCTCTTGTATTTATTGTCATTTTCCCCCAAAGTGTGGCATATATGCTACTGGTAAACTTCTGGTTTAAATATATATTCATTTCAGTACATATTAGAAAAAAAGCAGACTAGCTCATCAAGCCTATAATTTCATGAATATTATTGCTTATTTTGTATTTAAAGTTGCAATGTAATGTTTCCTTTTAGAAAGACTCTTAAGTAAAAAAATTGACTTAGATAAAAATATTAAGTAGGTCGTATATGGATGTGAGCAAAATTGTTAAGGTAGATGGCTATTGAGGTTTGACAACTGAAATACGCCATTAGTTCACAAAAACTAACTTGTGTACCAGTGCTGGGCCAGAGATGCCTAAGAATCACTCAGGGAGCTTTATTGAAGACTGGATTGATTCTTGGGCTCTATCTGTGACCGATGTAGATTCAGGTCTGGGATGGACCCAGGAAATCTGTTGAATTTCCTATGTGATTTTACTCTGCAGCCAGGTTTGGATTATACCTCTGGAAGCAAAATTTGGACAAATATAACTTCTAGCACAATTTAGCACTTACTTTTCTAGCCTTTACTTGCTTTCACTATTGCATCTTGGGTTGCAAAGTAATTTTGACTTACTTCCGAGAGTAAGTCTCTGGCACAGGGAGGCCATTTCTGAATACCTTTTTACTCTGTAACCGCCTTTCTGAGTATTTTTTTGTTCTTATTAATGGTTTGATCTTTTCAGATCAAGGCATCATTTTTGCCTCTTTAAATAATTAACTTACTTCACTTTTCCTATTTATCTGCATGACCCAGGAGAACTATATTTCCTCCTAGCTTGGCAGCACAACTTCAAAATTGTGTCTCTCGGAAATCTATAAGAGCCCCCTCAAAGTCAGAGCAGCAGGGTTTTTTCCTGTGACTTTCCTTCCCAAAGTGGGAGCTTTGTTTCCTACTTTTGATCAGTGATCTAATCAAAGTAGTTTACTTCTACTACTACCACAGTAGTTTACTTCTTCAGGGTATACTGTGGCTTCCTTTTGTCTGTGCAAAGCTTTTTCTTACAAATTACTACTTTATGTAATCTATACTTGCATGACTTGAATAGTATTGTCTGTGCAGGTACTGCACACCTTCCCATATTATGGTAGATTCCCACATAATGAAAATGCGGCCCCAGAACATCATCTGTGTTTAGATTTTCATTCTCATTAGATGCCAACTGGATTATCCAAAAATGGGAAAAATTACCTCCCAGTGCCTCCTCTGAAGCATATTTCACATATATTTGGGAGTCTCTGGTTTCGTAGATCTTATGCCTTTTCTATTTAATGAATTAGGTTTGTCAAACTGAATTGCATTCCAAAAAAGTCACTTTTTTAGAATACTTTAAAAAGTGAAAATGAAGATTGAAAATGAATGAGGATAACTATGTTAAATTGCTTGCAGCCTATGTTAAATAGGCTTAATTGAATGAATCTCAGGTCTTTTCTTGCCAGGCCAGGGACTTCATGGAAATAAGCTCCTAGTACCTAGAGACTCACCTAACAAATCATCCAGTCCATGCTCTCCCAGGACAGAGTGACTCCCCTGCCCATTTGCACCCTGTCCTTGTACAGGTTTGCTGCCAAGAGTGGCATGAAGGGGCTGTTCATGAGAGTGCTGGAGAGCCTGGACACAGAACAGATTTGACCCCTTACAGTCTTTGGGACTCTCAGCAAATTATTCACTTTTTTCTAAGCCTCAGTTTCTCCGTGCTTCCTCCTTACCCCACAGGGAAGTGATGCCGATTGATTATGATTTGCAAGCACTGTAATTCTTAGTTTAAAAACGCACACACAAAAACCAAAAAAACTATGTGAGGCTAGGTTATTTTCCTAAAAGGTGTTTTCTCTGCTGATGACATTGGAGCAGTTCCTACTTCATTTTGTTATGAAATGCTGTACAAATCATGTAGTCAAATCCAGTGAAACAGATATTTGGCAAGCTACATAAATGATATTTCTGAATAAAACATATACACAGTCGCATGTACACACGTGCACATGTGTGCACACATACACATACCATGGGGTCATAAAATCCTGAAGTTGATTTTCTTGGGGGCCTATGTTGGCTCAGCAGGCAGTTCCTGGAGAGGCATTTCCAAATGTTTTCAGCTGTGGTAGCATGATTGAAATATGTTGCAATAAACCTCCCAAGGCAATTCCTTTTTCAGGGAGAGGACACAGTTATTTTTATTTTGCTGGACTTTTTTGCTAGGATAATCTTTGTGGTCTCTGAGGCCTAAGCGAAATTAATTTTCAAGTAAGTAGCATAAAGGGTATGATTTATATGAATTTGAACATAGAATATATTTGTTTTGCCTGCATACACAATAAATAAAGTCATTTTGTTTAGTTGAATTATGTCTGTTCATTCAAAAACCATCCTATAACATTGAAATGAATAATGAGAATTTAGGCAAATGCGTTGAAGAGCAGAGCTCATTTGAATTTATAAGTTCAGGCATGTTGTTTTGATTCACCCTTTAATTATTTTAGCTTGTACATTTCTTGGCTAGTGAACAGAAAAAAATGCTACCATTGCTATTATAATTGTATAGTATTATTATGCAAAAGGTTTTTTAACTCTATACTCTGTATCTATTTTATTTTAAAGAAATTTGTGTTGTTTTAATACTTCTGCTTTGTTTTTTATATTACAGCAACTTTTTACAGATGTGGCAACTGGAGAAATGTCCAGGGAATTAGCTGATGACATAACAGCTATGGACACCTTAGTGACAGAGCTCCAAGACCTAAGCAACCAGTTTCGAAATCAGTATTGATTCTGCTGGAAGCAGATTCTGGAAAAGGTGCTTTCACCTGCTGGTAAAAGATACATCTGTATATCTGAAATGCAAGATATTGATTTTTAAAATAAATTTGTTTTATGACTTAACATTCTTGGTTTTGTGATGTTTTCAATTTTATATGCTTTCTGAAGTATATTAAATTTTTAAAACTCCCTATTTCGTTAGGTCTAATTATAGTTGAGTTCAGTATTTTTATTCTTGAGGTATTTTGGCACAAAGAGCAATTAAATTAATTTTGTTTTTAATATAGTGTTTATTCTCTTTCAACCTAACATTAATTGGATCATACTTTGGAAAACCTTTTGTCTAAACAGGTGAAAATCACGTACTACAAGTTTGTGAAATCATTAGATTGACTGCTTTATTGTTCAAAAGTGATAAAAGAGTGGACTTGGAGCTAGAAACATTTATGTTTCTTGAGATTTTGTGCTTGTTTCAGAAAGATACAGACTTGGCGAAATTGGAAATGTGAGCATGGTTTAACTTCTAAATCAAGAAAATGCAAGAAAAAAATGGCATAACCTAAATTTTTGCTTAGTTACTAGGAACTAGGCTGTTACCCCTTCATTATGTATACAACCGGCCCCAAAGATAGTTGTTTAATTAGGGTATTATGGGTGAAGACAGCTATTAATGGTGCCATATTACAGAAATGCGAAAGTAAAATGCTTTCAATGTCTATGGAGCCAAATATTGAAGGCAGCAGCTGAGCTTAATAATCTTAGTACAAAAGTCATAGTGAGGAATTCTAAGTCCTGGCTTGGGTTGCTACATTTTGGGTCCCATGTATAAATCACTTGGCCCTTTTTTTTTTTTCCATGTTCTTATATATAAGATGTAAATAATTTCTACTCGTAGCCTCTTTGTGAGTTTCAATTGCCTTTGGAAACTTAAAAATTCATAATCCATTAAGTATCCTGAACATTTAAAAACCATCTTTAAAAAACCCTTTTATTAGTGAATTTTGATTATGAATGCTTACCAGTGCTAAATGCTCTCATTTCTTAACCACTGCTTCTTTTCTATTAGCATATTGCCTTAAAAAGAAGTTGGCATATGCCCCAAAGCAGTTTCTCTTATAGCAGAGACAATACCTGTGAGAAAGACCAATAAAATGAGTTAACATTAAGGGTCTACATAAACCTTTTATAGAAGTCATTGAGGAATAGATGGGTGAATGGATGGGTGGATGCTTGAATGGGTGGATGGAACAAGATTTTAAGATTAATTTTTATTAGTATCAAGCTGTGAACCCTAATAGAAAGTGGACAGAAAATAAATACTGAAAAGGACAATCATTTCAGCAGTCAAGTAGAAGACTGAAGTAGAGCATCAAAGTTGTAGAAGTTTTTGGTCTTCAGTTTGCTTTCCTTGGGTTCAAGGTAGAAAGGCATCAGTGATTGTGAGAAGTCACAAACCAAGTCACAGAAGAGCTATCTCCTTGCAGTCATGTTCTCCAATGCTGTGCTGGACAAAATCAAAGTAATATATATATTACTCTTTTATCTTGGAGTGATCTCACAAAAGTGAGAGCTACTAGATGTTTTCTTTAAAGGCATAGACCTATTATTATTATTATTTTTTAATCTTACTTAGGTGAGTGTTTAAGATAATTGAAGAAAATGTGTGGGGAGGTAAAGTAGGGAAAGCTTGGGGTTTTCTAAAAGCCTCATCTCTGCTACCTAACATTTAATATTTAATTTAGCTACTTGGTTTTTTCATCTGACAAATGAGTGTGATGATAATAGTACTTTTCATCAAGTTGTTCCTATCTCTTAAAAAACATTTTCACCTAGCCTCAGAGTTAGTGATACAGAATCTGTATACACTCCAGCCTGGGTGACAGAGCAAGACCCTGTTTCAAAAAACAAAAAGCAAAAAACCTTAAAACAATGCTGTATTATTTATTATACGATCTTTGGTGCTTTGTGTTGATATATTATGGTTAAATGCTTGTGTTTCCAAATGCCTTATGTTTTATAAGTTTCACTTTGGTTTCCAATTATTAACACTTTTGCTTTCAGAATTATTCTTTTGCTTTTCCAATTAGAAAAATAGAAAAGATGTGATTCTTTAATCTTACTGCCTTCCCAGAGTGTGAATAATAATTATAATAGCTACAAGTTATTGAGTTCTCACTATGTACCAGGCATTTCACCTGGCATCATCTTTGACCATCAAAAGAGCCCTGCTAGGTCTGTTCGTGATATCACTAGAAAACTAAGGGTCACAAACTCTAGAAAGAGAAAGAGCCAGGATTTGAAGACTACTAAAGCCTGCATTGTTTCTGCTTTCGCTGAAGCTTCCAGTTGACCACTGATTTCAATCTTCTCTTTCTAATAATGGGATCTGGACAGTTTGCCCAGCATCATTTATAAAGTTCTCCAAGAGAAATTCTGTGAGGTCTCTGTTAATAATAGCCTGTGGTTTGTTAAGATTATTTACTCTTGGCCGGGCACGGTGGCTCACGCCTGTAATCCCAGCACTTTGGGAGGCCGAGGCGGGTGAATCACCTGAGGTCAGGAGTTCAAGACCAGTGTGGCCAACATGGTGAAACCCTGTCTCTAATAAAAATACAAAAAAATTAGCCGAGCATGGCGGTGGGTGCCTGTAATCCCAGCTACTCAGGAGGCTGAGGCAGGACAATCGCTTGAACCCGGGAGGCGGAGGTTTCAGTGAGCCGAGATTGCGCCACTACACTCCAGTCTGGGCAACAAGAGCAAAACTCCATTTCAAAAAAAAAAAAAAAAAAAAATATATATATATATATATATATATGTAATTTACTCTTTTTGAATAAAAAGTTTTAATAAATTCCTCACCAGCTTTTCCCCAGAGGTAGCATAATAAGCATAGTAAATGGGGCCCCTAACTGCAAAAGAGAGAAGATAGGCTTCAGTGGAATACCTAAATGCAAACTCAAGAAGCTTGCAGCGATGGTATTGAGACTGGAAGGCAGAGCAGTGGCCGTGTGTTGAGAGGTGGGAGCAGGTGGGACTCAGAGCTCAGATTCCCAGAGTGGACGTTGAAGTCCCCATTTAGGGGTGGAAGGCTTGGACCCACCTAGGATGGAGCCTTAGCACAGATGAGGACACAGCCATTGAAAGCATCGACTTATTTGACTGTGTTATCAAGACTGTTCTTATGCTGTACTTGTTTCTCTTGGGCATGCCATTAGTGTGGTATTCATAAGCAGAAATGTAAAAAAGAAATGACAAGAAGTATGTGTAGTAAATCCACCTACTTTCCAGACTTAGTTCAAAGATTATGACCTAAGCAGAGGTCTGGTTAGTTTAGGCTTTGTGAACGTTTGTCCAAATTATAGTAGGTTTACTAGCTAAAAACCCTGGGTGAGTCTGATGAAAAGTATTTCTTTTTTTCCATTGCTGTTTTTGTAACATCCACATCAATCTAAATTGCTGTTTAGATAAGGTAACTCTACTTTACTGGCCAAGAGTGAGGAATAAAATCTGTTAAGTGGATGCAACACACTTCCTTTCTGCCTATTCATTCAAAAGGCCCTATAGTGAAATGGCAAAGAGCCTTTATTCAAATGGTGGGTGCCATGCTGTGGTAATACAGATGGATTTTTCACAACATGCAGAAGTGCTTATAAATAGATACGTTTCAATCAACAAGTAGCTTATTCAGGCATGTGCTCAAATATAGTAGCTGCATTCATTAGACAGACATTTCCACTAATCCCAAGACTATACTAATAAAAGAGTAATCCCTTATGGGCTAAAGGTGGTGCTGGTTTGCTTTTAACTCTTGGAGTCCTTCACACACCAAGGCCTAATAATAATTGTAGCTGTATTTGGTTTTCACCAAGTGAACTTAACCCATTTATGCCGGAGGTTGCAATTTTTAAAATTTTTGCAATCAGAGCTTGGTGATGACCTTGAGCAGTAGAATATAAATAACTCTCACACGCTTAGCGTTCCGATAATGGAACACTAAGCATAAATGGGTTAAAAGCCGAGCTTATCTTGGAATTTTTCTATTCTTATTTTTTTAAATTGCAGGAGCTTAGTGAAGAAAGAGGTGCTTTTTACTCTAGATATGTAGCTTTCAGCAAAGCCAATTCAAAAATCAGTTTGTGTGTGTGTATGTTTTCTCGATACTTTATCATAAAGCACTTGTCTCTTTCACCTTGGTTCATAGAAGTGTTCGCTTGAGCAGATTCTGTTTTGTTCTTTGATGTTAGGATAAATAACAATGGTCAGTTTTGAGAGCATTTGCAAGCTCTCACTATAGTGGTTTGCCTTTTTACGTGGACTTTTTCCCCTTCAATAGCTCTTTACTCCTCCTATGTTACTCAGAGCTAGCTGTAATCCGTTTGCTTAGCACAACACCAAAATCTTTCCCTTGCCAGTGGTGTCAAATCTGCCTTCCTTTTTATTATTCTGACTTATAAACTGCAGTGACCTCTGAGTCAACTTCGCCATCTCTTGGCCCTGTGCCAACATTGTGTTCTGTGAAAAGAGAGTCCTGCCAAGGGCTACGAGGCAGAAAACTGATATTATTAAAGTGGTCTTCTGAACGGTAAGTATCAGCCATTTTCTAATCTTTTGTGATGTTATTGCCAGAAAGGGGGAGGGGGGGGTAAATCATGTTAATGTTGTTAAGGATCTAACCCATGCATTGCTAACTTTTTCCAGATCGAGGGCTCAGATGCACATCAGTATCTATAGGCACACAGAAATTATTGCACAGCGCTGTTCACAGACAGATGTGCTTCTTGAAGACTCTATTACTGTGAGACTCGAAGAAGTTTCTTAATGTCTGAGCCTCAGTTCCATTATCTGTAGCCTGTTAGTGATCCATATTGTACAGGGGTGTTATATACAATACCAGTTGAGAAGATGCATATAAAGTGCTTTAAAAATAAATGATATAGAAACATGATGCAAGCAAGAGTGTCTTCGAAACCATTTGATTATTAACACTGACAACCTTTTCTGTGCCCCACTCAGAAGCCTGATGACATTCAGTGCTGCTGGGCTGTGATACCAAAATGTTTATTAGCATTTTCATTCTATAGCAACCTTTTCCCCATTTCTGGGTGGCAAGTGGTGATAAGGGAAGGGATAAAGAAGAAAACATGATGGATTTTTATGAAGTAAACGAGAAAGAACCAAGTTCCCATCATTAGGATTTCTCAGGTTGGTGCTAAGAAAAGGAAAGAAAAAGAGGATGGGGAGTAACAGGCAAAAGCAAAACAAAAAACTGATGAAATGGGGAAGTGGCTGACTAGGATGAAGTCAGAGAATTAGAAGACCTGGATGAAGTCTCAGCTTTACCGCCTCCTAGCTGTGACCACACCTGAGCTCCTGAACCTCTCAGCCCCAATTTCCTCAGCTATAAAAATGCAAATACCCACCCTACAGACCAGACTGAATTTATCAGATGATGTATGTGAAGTACTATGTGAGCAACTGTGTACAATTAGTTATTGTTATGATCAAGAGAAAGGGGCATTGTGGATGGTCTATCGGTTCCCAGGGGCTGGTGGAGTCCCTGGATAGGAGTATGCAGCAACTTGGCTCCAGTTTCTGTAATCCCATGGGGGTCAGAACCCTGGGGTTTGAGAAACAATGCTGCAGAATATCTTTCAGTCTTGTCCTTCATCACTCTATTTACTGAATCAATTTGGCCTAGAGGATATCTGGTGCCAGGGTTGATAAAAGCTGTCTTGGGATTTTTACAGCTGTCTGGTCAGAAGACATGCTTATGCCATAACAGCTCCAGCTCCTTCTCTCACTCTCTCTCTCTCTCTCTCACACACACACACACACACACACACACACACACACGAACAGCACTAGAATGTGCTTTACATATGAAGTTGATTCCCCTGATCATTATCAGTAGGACATAGGGTGATTTCTTCAGATAGGTATGCTCTGATTAATGTTCACCCTCCTCCTTTAATAAATTGCAGAAGTGTCCCATGTTTATCTCCAAAAAATTAGAAAATACAAATAAGCAAGAAGAAAAAAAATCATCCAAAATCCCACCCCTGTAGAAGTTAACCCTGTTAACTTTTTTGTATATCCTTCCAGACTATTATATAAATAAATACACATATATCTGAGAGATATTGGCTTTTTGTTTGTTTTTACTTAATTAAGCTTTTCAGTAAAACACATGGAAGCAGGCCCTTCATTAACATTTGTGGAGCTCCAGGCCAGAGTACATATAGAGGCCTGCTTACTATATATCTAAATATTTCAAAGTTAAAAATCAAGCAAAGAAATGGTTAAATAAAATTTGTTTTATGCTTTGATCTTGACAGATATTCCTTTATAATGACTTGGAAGGACATATTTTAATTTGGAGTTCTCAAACATCTCAGAATTCAACCAAAAAGGGGTGCAGAGAGAGTCAGCTCCCTTCCCCTATCCTGCTTTTCAGGGTCCCAAGTACACATGTGCACACTCCAGCTGCAGGTGTCAGGCATGTCTTCAGCACCCACAAACAGCTCTGCATGGCTACCACTCAGACCTGGGAGTGCACAGACCAGACGCCACTCCACCCTCAGGATTATGGGCACAGAAGAGAGGCACATGCAGCTTCTGGATGCAGGCTTTGGGCCTGTGGGCAGGGAACTCCTGGGGTCCCAGTTACCTGAGCGTGGTCTAGAAGATGGGGCTAATACAGGCTCTAGGCATAAGCAAAAAGTGTCTGGAGGAGGGACAGAAACAGAAAGTCCCAAAGCATAGGGATTTCTTGCCTTGGTTTAAGGGTGGTACTGACGGGAAAATGGTGTCAGATACAGGAGTTGTTGGGAAGAACACCTATTCCTCTTTCCTTAATATTCCTTGAAAGTGAGAAAATTTCTGTTCCACAAGGTAGGAAGCAAAAGAAAAGGAGCCTCTCTCTACTCCATATTTATTCCAAGGGAGGAGGAGCAACTTAAGGAACTAAGGAACCAGACAAATCCAACTCTCTCTCTCCCTCTTTGTGTCTGTGTGTGTGTGTGTGTGTGTGTGTGTGTGTGTGTATCTCTTTCTGTGTCTCTCTCAAGATAGGTAAAACCATGACACTGTTGGCATTTGGGCTGGATAATTCTTTGTTGTTGGGAGCTGTCCTGTGAATTTTTATTTTTTATTTATTTATATTTATTTATTTATTTATTTATTTGAGACGGAGTCTTGTTCTGTTACCCAGGCTAGAGTGCAGTGGCGCAATCCCCACTCACCGTAACCTCCGCCTCCTGGGTTCAAGCGATTCTCCTGCCTCAGCCTCCCAGGTAGCTTGGACTACAGGCATGCGCCACCACGCCCAGCTAATTTTTGTATTTTTAGTAGAGATGGGGTTTCACCATTTTGGCCAGGATGGTCTCAATCTCCTGAACTCGTGATCCATCTCAGCAGATCACGACACCCCAAGTGTCTCCTGGGGGACAAAATTACCCTCTTTTGAGAACCAGTAGGTTAAACAACAGATTAGACAGATAAGGAGAGAATTAGTGAAGGGAAGGATAGCTCTAGAGATAATTCAGCACATTCTACATCAGACAGGGAGAGAAATAAAAGTAGGTAAGAGACACAGAGGATAGATTTCCAGAAGAATATATCTAATCAGAATTTCAGAAGGATATGAAAGAGAATTGGGAAGAAGTATTTGAAGAGTTAATGGCTGACAGTTCTTCAGAATTGATGAAAATTATTCTCAAAATCAGAATATCCACATAGACTTTAAAATCACCTCTCAATTTACACATACGCATAGCCTACAGGATTTTTAAAAGGAAAAAGTTTTAAATTATACCATTTATAATGGCATGAAAAATTCAGATACTTTGCAATAAATATTTTTAAAGATTGATAAAGGCACATATATCAGCAGGAAAAAACATTTTCAGGCAGACTATACATTATATGTGTTGAAACATCACTATAGCCCATAAATATCTGCATGTTATTATATGTCAATTAGAAAATAAAATAACTCTTAAAAAGTCCTAAATTTAAAAATGGTGGGAAATACCATGTTGATGAATTGGTAAACTCAGTATAGTAAAGATGTTGTTTTTCCTCAAATTGATCTATATATTCAATAGTCTTAATAAAAATTCCAGTCTACTTTTTTGTGGAAATTAAAAATATGATTCTAAAACATACAGGTTGAGCATCCCAAATTCTGTATCTAGAAAACCTTATAGTCCTTCCTTCAGCTGATAAACAACTTCAGCAAAGTTTCAGGATACAAAATTAATATACAAAAATCAGTAACATTCCTATGTACCAACAACCAGCCAAGCTGAGAACCAAATCAGAAACACCATCCCATTCACAATTGCCCCAAAAAGAATAAAATACCAAGGAATACAGCTAACGAGGGAGGTGAAAGATCTCTGCAATGAGAGTACAAAACACTGCTCAGAGAAACCAAAGATAACATGAGCAAATGGAAAACATCCCATGTTCATGGATAGGAAGAATCAATATCATTAAAATGGCGATACTGCCCAAAACAATTTATAGATTCAATGCTATTTGTATCAAACTACCAATGACATTCTTCAAAAACTAGAAAAAACTATTTTAAAATTCATATGGAACCAAAAAGGAGCCCAAATAGCCAAGGCAATCCTAAGCAAAAAGAACAAAGCTGGAGACATCATGTTACCCAACTTCAAACTATACTACATGGCTACAGGAGCAAAAACAGCATGGTATTTGTATAAAAACAACACATAAACCAATGGAACAGAATAGAGAGCCCAGAAATAAGGCTGCACACCTACAACCATCTGATCTTCAACAAAGCTGACAAAAGCAATGGGGAAAGGAATCCTTATTCAATGAATGGTGCTGGGATAACTGGTTAGCCATATGCAGAAGATTGAAACTGGACCCCTTCCTTATACCATATTAAAAAAAAATCAACTCAAGTTGGATTAAAGATTTAAATGTAAACCCCAAAACTATAAAAACCCTGGAAGACAACCTAGGCTATACCATCCTGGACATAAGAACAGGCAAAGATTTCATGACAAAGACACCAAAAGCAATTGCAACAAAAGCAAAAATGGACAAATGGGACCTAATTAAGAGCATCTGCACAGCAAAAGAAACTATCAACAGAGTAAAGAGAAAACCTACAGATAGAGAGAAAATTTTTGCAAACTATGCATCTGACAAAGGTCTAATATCCAGCAGCTATAAGGAACTTAAACAAATTTACAAGAAAAAAAAACACTAAAAAGTGAACAAAGGACATGAACAGACACTCTTCTAAAGAAGACATGCATGCAGCCAACAAGCATATGGAAAGAAGCTCAATATCACTGATCATTAGAGAAGTGCAAATCAATACAATGAGATGCCATCTCAAACCCAGAATAGCTGTTATTACAGAGTCAAAAAATAAGATACTGGTGAGACTGCAGAGAAAAGGGAACACTTAATATACTGCTGGTGGCAGTATAAATTCGTTCAATCATTGTGGAAAGCAGTATGGTAATTTTCCTAAAGACAGAAAATCCATTCAACCCAGCAATCTCATTACTAGGTATATACCTAGGGGAATATAAATCATTCTACCATAAAGACACATGCACATGAATGTTCATTGCAGCACTATTCAAATATCAAAGACATGGAATCAACCTAAATGCCCATCAACGGCAGATTGGATAAAGAAAATGTGGTACATATACAGCATGGAATACTGTGCAGCCACAAGAAAAAATGAGATCATATCTTTTGTGGGAACATGGATGGAGCTGAAGGTCACTATCCTTAGCAAACTAACGCAGGAACAGAAAACCAAATACTGCGTGTTCTCACTTATAAGTGGGAGCTAAATGATGAGAACTCATAGACACGAAGGGAACAACATACACTGGGGCCTACTTGAGGATAGAGACTGGGAGGAGGGAGAGGAGCAGAAAAAATAACTACTGGGAACTAGGCTTAGTACCTGGGTGATGAAATAATCTGAACAACAAACCCCCCCTCCACGACACAAGTTTACTTATATAACAAACCTGCACATACACCCCTGAACCTAAAAGAAAAGTTTAAAAATGTAAAAACTATATATCAATAAGAAAAAAATCAAGTGGGAAAAAACAAGTATTTTGCAAAAGAGGATAATATCCAAAGAAAAATACAAAAATACACTCAGTCATCAGAGAAATGCAAATTAAAATAAAGAGATAGGACCACATACTCAAAAGAATGGCTAACGTTAAAATGACTCTGCATACCAAGTGTTAGGATGTGGAGTAGGAGTAACTCTTAACAATGCTAATGGGAGCACCACTTGATAGAAACACTCCGGAAAACAGCTGGGCAATATCTGCAAACTTCGAAGATATGCATACCCTATGGCTGAACAGTTTTACTCCTGGGGTGCACACACATACCCAAGCACAAATGCAGGCACCAAAACTCTCATACAAAAATGCTTATAGCAGCGTTATCTATAATAGTCCCCAAATTGAGAAAATCTAAATATCTACCAACAGTAAAATAGATGCATAAATGGTGGGATATTCATGCAATGATGTGGTCTGCATCAGTGAAAGTGAATGTTCTAGCCATACCACGGCAATAACATGAGTGAATCTCTCCAACACTATGTTCAGCAAAGGAAGCCAGATGTTAAAAACATTAAAAATTTAAAAAGTGCATGCTGCATATTTCCACATATATAATAAGTTCAAAAAGCAGATTAAATTAAACTGTGTTATTTAGTGATGCATGCTTAGTATAAAAACTATAAAGGAAAGCAATGAAGTGATCACCACCAAAGACAGGCTAATGACTACTCTTGTGGGTATAAATGGGTGGTGGATGAATGGTACTAAAGGACTTCCGGGGAGCTGGCAGTATCATAGTTATTAACTGGGCTCATGGCTAACATGGTTCTTCTGGCAAATCATCAAGTTATACATTTTTGTTTTGTGCATTCTTCCCAAATGTGTGTTGTGTTTCACAGTAAAAAGCATTAAGATATTAGGAAGAGTGCAGTCAACTCTTAATGTGAACCTGAATGTCTGCCTTCTCCTCTCCACGTTTTTGCACTTTTCTACCTCTTTGTCTTTTCCTTCTTTTTGAGGAGACCTGAGCTCTTTCCTCAAGTAATTTTTCTCACAACTCATAAAATTGACTTTTGAAAAATCATACTGCATTTTGAGGTGAAACTTGGCAACACAAACCCAAACTTAACTCCATGTAACTTTAACTCCCCACCCACCCCCACTACCAAACACCTCCTTAAACAAAATATAACAACATTTTACAACTATAAGGTGCTTTTACCCTAAGGCAAAAATGTGGATAATTTGACATTGCACTCTAAATTCTTTATTTCTTTTGTCTAATACAGTTAAGATCCTGTGCTGTCTGGATAAATAGGGGGGTACTAACCTAAGGCAACCCAGGCCAGCATAGGCAGTGATTGAGTGTGGTCATCTTGGTGACCAAAGCCAGCTTCTCACATTTCTTCTTGAAAAGCATGGTGCTGACATGTTTAATATCCTATGGCATTCCCTTTGGGCTCTGTAGACTGATGGAAAAGGCCCCTGTTAACATCTGATGGCCAAGTTGAATAGCACAGCCTTGAGACCCTCCACTTCACAGCTCCGGTTAGGGGGGTGATTTCTCACCAAGTTGTAGTAGAAATACCGATAGTCATATCCTGGCAGGATCCACATACCACCGGTTATAGGGAGAACACTTTTGTGTGCCTGGATGGTTTTGGACAAACAAAGGTGAAATCTCACCCACAACTTCATAGGGAATGATAAATCAAAATCCAGCACACTACAAAAAAGAAAAAGATAAAGCTAAGGTTTGAAGTTTTTCTGGAAGAATTCCAAAAATGCATATTTCAAGGGAATGTCTCAGGGCAACCCTAAATAGACTGGTGACCTACAGATCAAAGACACTGTATTTTATTAGCCGTCTCCTGACCCAGCCAATCCAACTGTCCTTCCCTAACTGTTACATGCATCCAGATAAACCCTCCCCTGTCTGTCTTTACTTTCTTCCTCCGAGAATCACAAATCAACCCTGACAACATTTGGTTTCTCATCTTAAGGAATGTTGCTGGTACATTCTTTATGTGAAAGAGGCAATCCCAGGAAGGGGTATGAACCAGACTGAATGAAGAGTATCTTATTTCATCTGCACAGAACAAAAGAGTGTCTTTCCTTTCCCAATGCCTGCAAGAGTCTAAGGACTTGAATGAAAGCAGACTGGCTGAGCTTAGTCCTAAGGATGGATACAAGGCTGGCAGGGAAGAGGGGTTCTCTGGGGTCTGTGGGGTGACTTTCCTTCCTCCATGATTGTTCTTATAATGGAGTCCTGTCTTGCTAAGGGGAGCAGTGACTGACAGGGTTATTTATCTTTGACTGCTTCCCCACACTGATCCCACGTTCTTTTTTTTTTTTTTTTTTTTTTTTTTTTGGAGACAGAGTTTTGCTCTTGTTGCCCAGGCTGGAGTGCAATGGCGCGATCTTGCTCACTGCAAACTCCGCCTCCTGGGTTCAAGCGATTCTCCTGCCTCGGTCTCCCAAGTAGCTGGGATTACAGGCATGCACCACCACGCCCAACTAATTTTGTATTTTTAGTAGAGACGGGGTTTCACCATGTTGATCCCAAGTTCTATAGGTACGGTTGGGATATAATTATTTTGAAATGTTATGAGTGTTTCATAAGTTTACTCTGACCTGGGAATTTTGTGAAGTGTCAATGTGGCAGGCAGCCTGAAAGACGGTTCCCAGTGATCTCTGGCTCCTGGTATTCTCAGCCTTGTGGAATCCCCATCCCTGGAGTGCCTTGTGTCTATATAAAATATTGACAACATTGAAAGGATGTCATTTCTATGAGTAGGTTACATAAGACAGTGACTTCTATCTTGCGAGCAGAAACACTTCCTGGCTGCCTTTGATAAAGCAAGCCACCATTCGGGAGAGGACCATGTGGTCAGGAACTAGGGATGGCCTTGGGCCAACTGTCCCCATAGCCCTGAAGGAAGCAAGGAGCTGAGGAAGTCAGGTGGCCCAGCAACCCTAAAGGAACCAAATCCTGCCAACAAACACCTGAGCTTGGGGGCAAACCCAGATGGGCCTTCAGATGAGACCCTAGCCCAGGCTGACATCTTGACTGCAGCTCTGTGATAGACCCTGAGGTTAGTCCTGGCTCATCTGTGCCTGGATTTCTCTCCCTCAGAAACCATGAGATAATAAATGTGTGTGGTTTTTAAGTTGCTAACTGTATCTTAGCACTGCATTATAAAGCAGTAGGTAATTAATACAGTAGATTTCACTTAGTCACTAATTATTACAAAATATATTTCTGGATACATTTTATCATCTCAAAGATAATAGATGGACAAAATAATTAAACTGGATATGCTTTCACTCTATGTCACATTGTGTCAAAATAAGTCATCTCCTTAGAGAATTATTTGTAAACTAACAGATTATATAAGGGCAGGCATTAAGAAGCCTCTGTGGTCTAAAATGTGACTCCTCTGATTAAAGACCTTCTGGAGTTCTGCATGAAATACATACTCTTTGCTGTGACATTCATAATGTGACTCCAAACCACCCTCCCAAGATTCTTCCCCATCACACCACTCCTTGTTGGTACCTTATGCCCAAGGGGTGGTTCCTGACCACCCTTTCCACACTGCAGCCTGCCCTCCCCATCTGTCTTTTCTCCTGCTGCCCTTCTGGTGCTCTCCCTGCTTTACTCTACCTCATGTCTGCTGTGGAAAGCCTGTCTCCTCAAGACCACCCCTTCGTGAGATTTCTTACAGGTCCCACATCCACCTCTAAGCCGGGTACTCTGCCTCTTCCCCTTACACTGCAACACCACTTTTGGCCTTGTTTAGGGTATTTGCATGCTCTTCCCCTCATCCTGATTTGCTCTCTGACTCTTCTCTGATTCAGCCTCTTCTGATTTCCCATGTGAGACCAAAAGCTACATGAGGGCAGAAACTGTCCCTCATTCTTGGTGGCCCTTCCTACAACCTAGAACATCTCCTTGGGCATAGTGAAGAGATGGTCACACAGTGTTTGCAGAATTGAATTTCATGAAGGGCAGATTGTGATGTGGTGCAGCATTACCTAGATGGTGTTAACAGAATTTCTGTGTTAACAGAGATTCTATGGCCAAAGTAGTGTGAGAAACCAAGTGCGCTCTGTCCCTTTGCTATGGTTTGGATAATTGTCCCCAGCAAATCTCATTGTGAAATTTGATCCAAATGTTGGAGGTGGAACCTAATGGGAGGTGTTTGGGTCATGGCAGTGGATCCCTCCTGAATAGATTAATGGCCTCCCTCAGGGGTGAGTGAGTTCTCACTCTGTTAGTTCTCAAGAGAGCTGGTGTTTAGAAAGAGCCTGGCACCTCCCCTCTCTCTTCTGCTTCCTCTCTCACCACGTGTTCTCTTCACACACAGGCTCCCCTTCACTTTCTTTTTTTCTTTTTAAACAGACGGGGTTTCACTTTGTTGCCCAGGCTGGTCTCAAATTCCTGGGCTCAAGTAATTCACCCACCTTGGCCTCCCAAAGTGCTGGGATTACAGGAGTGAGCCACCGTGCCTGTCCCCCTTTGCTTTCCATCATGAGTAGAAGCAGCCTGAAGTCCTCACCAGATGCATATGCCAGTGCCGTGCTTCCTGTACAGCCTGCAGAACTGCAGAGGCAAATAAACTCCTTTTCATTATAAATCACCCAGCCTCAGCTATTTCTTTATAGCAACACAAAATGGACTAAGACACCCTCCATGAAGAGCCGCCCTGGGCATTAGATGACTAAAGTCTCTAAGAAGCTCTGCAGTAAAGAAACAGGCAGAGCCCAACATTCCACTCTGGCTTTCTGTAATGCTGTGATTTGGGCAGAAGGTGTGGAAGCTGCCTACTTACCTCTCTACGGGATCTCTGCCCATGTAGAGCTCACCTGAGAGCGGATGCTGTATGTTTTGTTTTGTTCTTTTCTCTCAATAAGGCTGTGAGTTTATCACACTTTGTAGTCTATACTCATTTCCCTTGTTTAGTCACAGGTGATTCCAGGGCGATTTCAATTGATGATGCTTCGAACGGATACTCAACTCCTAAAAATACACAAATCCCGCTGTTAGAAACTAAGCCACTTCTATTGCATTTAGAACCGTATTTAATAACTAGTTTGACATGGTGACTCCTGTCCTCAAGGGACTTTTTGCTCAAGAGTGCAGTGACTAAAGATTTCAGATATTAGACACCCACTTTTTCACCAGTCTTTGCCAGATTTAATTCTATTTAATGGATGTTGAATAAGCCTTTCCCATGTGTCAGGCACTATGCTAGATGCTTAGGGTACAAAACGTAATAATAAACTGTTCCTGCCCTAAAGAATGTCTATTCTGACTCAGAGCATAACATATTATTTTAATATACTTCTGCGAGTGCTGAAACTCTGTTATCACCTGCACATAAGCAGGAGATGGGGAGGCACCAGTTGAAGGCGCTTAGCTGAGAGGAAAGGGGGAACCTGGGATGAGAGTTAGTTGAAAGATGCAGAAAAGTTACCCTGAGAATAAAGGTAGCAGAAAGAAAATCTAATTTAACTTTTTTTTTTTTTTTAATATACTCTCTGCCAGCAACTCTCTGCAAGGTCCTAAGGGTTCTAAGTTGAATAAGGCCCACTCCCTCCCTTCCAGGACTTTAGCTGAGGTTGGTTGGGGCAGAAGTCGGGCAAGACTCATCGGAACGGATTAACAGAGACAGAATCCAGAGGCAACGGGGTGAATTCCAAGTATAGGTAATACTTCTAATTTTAATTTAAATAATCATTTATTTCCTCTAAGCTTTATTATTTTTTAAGAGCTAGCATCATTCCTCTGGGTGTCTTGAGCCTGTAGACTCAGCAGCTGTGAATTGAAGAATTTCTGTCTGGTTCCTGGTCACCTTTTCCCTGCTGAAAACACTGTCCCTCCCTTCTCTCTCTTCTTGTGCTTCACTTCCATGAAGGAGGGCATTAGAAGAAAGGAAAAGGAAAAGTGCTTCCCTCCCTCTGTGCTCCTGGCAACTCTAATGGTAGGATCTGTTTTGGAGGACTTGCTGTAAAGCGATGGCAGTTAGCCACGTCTGGAACCTATGTCCATGGCTGAAAGAGCCACAGGCTCTGCCGTCAGGAGACCTGTGTTAGTTTTGTCTCTGCTATTCACTGATTGTGTGCGCCTGGCATGTTAACTAAGGCTCTGTGTGTTTACCTTATCTTCAAGATGGGGTAAAAAGATACTCACAGGGGTGTGTGCAGATTAGTGCTTATGCGCTGAGCACACTGTCCAAAAGGCTATTTTAGATGTAATTCTCTTCCTCTTTTTCTTTAAATCAGAAAAGACACACTTGGTCTGAGGGTATGTTTCAGCTCAGGCATGCTGCCATCAGGACCACGTAAAGCTGGATTTTTCTACGCTAGTCCATTTGCACGTAAGCTCCTCCTTTCTCCTCCGAAGTACAATTGTTATACCTAGTAGTTGGGAAAATTGTGTCATTGTGTTTGTACCTAACACAGATGACTTAGGAATTTTTTTCTACTCCTTGGATTTATCTTCTCATTTTCTCTGGGTTACCTTGAGAAGGACAAGAAGCTGGTGTTTATATTGGCGTGCAGGATTGAGAGAGAACATAAAAATGGGTGGGACATATATATGCCGTGATGGATGGAGTCGTGAACACTTTTGGCTTAAAAATCAAATTTCCTTTGCTATTATACTCAGGTCAAGGAAGCACCAATTACTTCAGGTCTTTCCTGGAGTAATTAATTCACCTATAATGCCTTCCTCTCCTCCCTTCCTGTTATCCCTTCCCAGTAGCTTGTTTTTCTTTATTCAAAGAACATATACTGAGGGCTCTTAGGGACACACACTGTACTAGGGGGAGAGCTCCCAGGAAAAGGCAGCAGGGGCAGGAGGAAATTGCGGGGAGAGGCACACAGGCGCTCACAGCCCCCATCCTTGTCTGAGTCTGACACATCTGTCCTGGGTGGCTCTTGAAGAGCTCCACAGATGCAGTAATAAGAGAAAGGGGGCAGGAAAGGGCCCTGGGCTGCAAGGATCAGAAGGCGATAACTCAGAGAGGTGGAGTGAGTGGGCACAGGCCCCACAGGATGAACTGTGCAGAGAGGACTGAGGGGGCAGCAGCAGAACCAGCCTGGCTGGTGGTGATGGGGACAGCCCAGGCCAATGGGGGTGACTTGCGGAAGAGTGGAGAGAAACCAGCAAGTGCGTGGCCATCGGTGGGGCCTGCTCTCCTCACTCTTCTCCGCAGGTCTGACCCCTTTCATTTTAGCTCCAGATAATGAGTTTCCATCACTTCATTTAGGAAAGCACCAAATGGGACGGGCCCTGTTTTGGGACTGGGGATGCAAACACAAGCAGGACCTTGTCACTGCTCCCAGGGAGCCCGCCGCGTGGTGCTGCGGTTCCTGTTCAGGGCTGCGTAGCAGAATCACCCCGGGGAGCTTTTAAAACACACACCATCCGGAGATTCAGATTCAGCAGGACAGGGTGGGGCTGCCATTTCCCTATCTGCTGGTGAACCTCGAGCTAATGAAAATAGAAAGAGAAGGACGAGGAGGTCAACACCCCTGTTTTCCAGGCACTGTGCTAAGTGCTTTATATAAGAGGAAGTGAAATATATGAACAGTGGTGTGCTTCCGCTGGCTCACACCAGCCCGGAGGGGTCAACTCTGTACCTTTCTTCTCAACTTGACATTCAGTGACATCACACTAGTACTTTGAAATGAGCCCTGGTGGGAATATTACAGCATGGAAATGGACAAATGCTAAACACCGGGGCATTTTCCCCTCTAGAAAGCCAGTTGTTAAACATTTACCAGAACACCACTGTGTATATGTATGTTTCTTATTTAGTGTAATCTTCATAATAAACCCAGATATTATCCATGGACTAACACTTGACAGCTTTCAAATCACTTTTAAATACGTTGCCCTACTCTCGCAATGCCCCGTGAGGTATCCTTGTCCCCATTTTAAAGAAACATTGGCTCCAAGAGGTCACACGGCCAGGAAGGGACAGACCTGACATGAAAGGCCAAGCTTGCCTCCTATCAGCCTTGTTCCTGCTATGGCAGGCCCAGCAGGCAGATTTCTGGTTCTGAGCCAGGGTCCTGGTCACAGGGGCTGGAGGGACTAGGCCTGACCCCGTTCTCAGATGTCTGATAACAGGAAGTTTCCCCCCAACACTGGGAGGCTTAGCTTAATAAATGAGTTTCCTGTTCTGCTTATTTGCGTACATTGAGGATTCTCATGCTACGTTTGGGCCTACATAGGCAGGCTTCCAGGGGCCTCCAATTCAGGGGCTTGCTGTTTCCAGGGGGACTGGCTGTGCTAGGGAAATGTGCCCTTGGCTGCCATGGAAAGAAGGGAATCTAGAACTTTTTAAAACCTGCCCCTTCAAGGTCTTGGCCAAGGCCATGGGAATTTCCAAATATTTCACTTGTCCCAATTGAGGTAGCAATGAGGACGCTTTGCTAGAATGAGGCTTAGAGATTTATGTCCCCATGGAAAATCCCCAGAAGTGAGGGAAACTCATTCTAAAATGTCGAAAATAGCAGCAAACCGAACCAGCCCTCACAGATATCACCTGCTGTAGAAACAGAGTGTCCTGAGGAAGAAGGCAAGAAGAAATTCCTAATTCCCAGGGTCTCTCTCCCCATAATTTAGGTTTTGTCAGGACCTACTGGTATCTGTTGGGACAGACAACTGAGTGAAAAGCTAGTCGTCATGGAAAAATCAGTGAAAGACCTTTTTAAGACAGAATTTTCCTTCATGTTAGGGGTTTGGACAGCTGGGGCTATTCCACTCACATGATGCCCACTCTGATTACCGCACTCAGAATTCTTAGTTTGTCTCATATTCAGTCGCCACTACCTGGAGTTTCCACAGAGGGTGTCAAAGGTGACCTCCCTTACATTCTGAAGGATGTCCTGTCTGAGGGATGGGCTCCCAGAGGTCACTAGATGGGAATAGTGGTGTGTATTGCTGAGGACCCCAGAGGTTTTAGAACGGAAGGACTTGACGCCATGGGCTTGCTGGTGGGAGGTGGATGATCCCTTACCAAGCTGTGGCCTCACACCCTCCTATGCTCCCGACCACCCCCAGCACTGGCTTGACTCCAGTGTGAATCTTTCTTTTCTTTTGAATCCTAAACACATGTCCCCTGAAGTGTTTCAGACAGTTGGGATCAGCAGCAACCCTAGCAGTGTTTGTGCAGAACCCCCAGAGCTGACACTGCTGACTGGGACATGTGACCTGGCACCCCCAGGTGGGTGGGCCCCAGGTGAGTCCACCCGGGCTCCAGCAGAGGAACCTGCCTCCGGAGTTCGGAGGCTGTGATGCGTGGTACCGATGGACTCTGAGTTCCAGACTCGGGACACAAGGGGAGATGGAAGGCAACTGTGTAAACCAAAGAGGCAGCAGCAGGAAGGTCCCAGCGAAAGCAGATCCACTGGCCAGAATTCCCCAAAGCCTCTCTGCAGTGTGGTTCTCAGACCAGCAGCATCAACTCACTTGGGGACTTGTTAGAAATGAATCTGCCTGTCAGTGAGAGGCCCAGGGGTTCCTGTGCTTGACGGCACTGCACTAAACAAAGCTGAGCCTTTGCTAACTCCTCTAGGTCTCTACCCACTGGCTAAGACTCGGCCAAGGGCACATCTAGGGCTGGAGTATTATACAGTGAGCAGAAGATGTATGCAACTTAAAGAATAATGTTAAGGAGTGGGGGAATGCTGATTTTTTTCTCTGCCTCTCTTGTATATTCTATCATAAAGGATCTGGACTCAGAAGAGATTTAAGTTTCAAATCTGGCTTTGTCAGTTAATGCTTGTGGGATCTCAACCACGTCACTGACTTCTCTGAGCATGCTTCCATATTTCTACAAAGGAAACAATAGGTGACTCTGCTGAGTTGAGCACTTGCGAGTACCAAGCAGTAAGTGTTTTACACCTATTTACTCATTTAATCCTCCTGAAAATCCGTGTGACACCTGTGTTGTTATTACCCCCATTTGACAGGTGAGGACCTGAGGCACAGATGCTAACCAGCTTGCTGGAGATCACACACTCATGAGTGGCAGAGTGGGGCTTGGAACCGGGTAGCCTGGCTCTGGAGCCCTCACTCCATCCACACACCATGCTGGGACCCAGTCGAGTGACCAGCAGACCGGTTGTGTGGGTTAGGTGGAATGGTGGATATAAACCACACAGCCCAGCTCCTGACCCATGCTGGGCCCTCAGTAAGTTACTACTTTCATTATTATACATGCGTAGATGAAAGTTGGGTGGTAATAGTGATTTTCCCTAAGATGATGGAACTTTACGTGCCTTTGCCTTTTCTTACCTGTATATTCCTGAAATCAACAGGTTCTACTTTTGTCACAAGAAGAGAGGAAATAATTGTACTTTTTTTTTTTTGAGATGGAGTCTCAATCTGTCACCCAGGCTGGGGTGCAGTGGCACAATCTCGGCTCACTGCAACCTCCGCCTCCTGGGTTCACGCCATTCTCCTGCCTCAGCCTCCCGAGTAGCTGGGACTACAGGCGCCCGCCACCACGCCTGGCTAATTTTTTGTATTTTTTAGTAGAGACGGGGTTTCACCATGTTAGCCCCTTGATATGGTTAGGCCTTGTGTCCCCACCCAAATCTCATCTTGAATTATAATCCCTGTAATTCTCATAAGCTTCACATGTCAAGGGAGAGACCAGGTGGAGGTAATTGAATCATGGGGGTAGTTCCCCATGCTGTTCTTGTGATAGTGAGTTCTCACGAGATCTGATGATTTTATACGTGTTTGGTAGTTCCTCCTGAATTCCTTCTCATTCCTGCCGCCTTCTGAAGAAGGTGCCTTGCTTCCCCTTCACCTTCTGCCGTGATTGTAACTTTCCTGAGGCCTCCCCAGCCATGCTGAACTGTGAGTCAATTAAAACTCTTCCCTTTATAAATTTATAAATTTATAAATTCTTTATAGCAGTGTGAAACGGGACTAATACACCCTTCTTGACTTGCTTATGTGACTTGCTTATGTGACTTGCTCATTTCCAGCATGAGGCAGGAAAGGATAGAAGCCTTTCAGAGCCTGAGCCAAGTTCCTCCTCACAGAAGCACAGAGGACACTTACTCCATCTCTGAAAAAGCTGCCCACACCCCACCTCCATCCAGCCTTCCAAAAGCCACCACGAATGACCCGTAGGAGGGGCAGAGTGTGCCACTTGCTACGGACCAGAACCTCTGGGGAGCGGGGATCATCTCTGTGTCTCTCTGCTTCAACTGCATTTAAAATGAACATTCTTAATGATAAACCTTTCCGTGTGTAAAGAAGGGCGTGGAAAAATGTATGTACTGGAGACTCGGGTAATGACTTTCTAAGTGTGGAAAATTTTCCCCCAAAGTGTTTCCAAATATAGAAAAGTCACATAATAAATGATGAGGGCTCATAAACCTTTCTGGCAGCAGTTGCAGGGGTCAGAACAAGGAAGAAGGAATTCCCAGCTCCTAGGGCCTCGCATCCCACACTGTCTTCTGGGCTACTGTGCAACCAATGGTTCCGTATCTGTACGTACCCAGGGGCTCCTTAGATAAATAATTGAAGTGAAATATCAAATGTGTTACTGGTTTTTTAATGTCACTGATAAAACCCCTAAAATAGACTGCATGTCTCCCAGCTCTTCTGAACCAGGAGTGTTTGGGAAGTTGAGAATGTCACTGGTCACATTGTTCCTTTCTCTTGTGTCTCTAAAGGGTTTTGTTGTTTTAGGTTTGTTAATGGTTGTCAAACACATGCCTCAGACATTTTTAACCTCCTGGAAGCCTACTGGACTCAACACACTGAAACCAGCCCTGATTCTCTGCTGACTGCATTTGCCAAGATTGAGTCCTATAATTGTCAGGTTGCTGCCAAAGCTAAAGCCCTGCCCCACCTGCCCCGCCCCGCCACCCACCTGCCCCACCCCACCGCCCATAGCCTTCCCTGAGAACCATCTTCAACTTCTTGGCAGCTGTGATTCTCCTCACCTCTATGGGTGGAGGAAACCAGTAGGGGTGCAGAAGATCAGGGGGTTGTGGAAACCTGCATCTTCTTCATGCTCCCCAAACCTTTCTTCCTTGAAGCAAGGAAGGGCCTAGCTCTGTCACAGAAAGGGTACTGAAAGACATAACAGAAATGCCCAACCAAATGGAGATTATGAGTGAATGTGGTCACTGGGATCACAGCTGGCCCTAACAGGTCTATTCTAACTATTCTAACTCTGGTGAGCCCCCAAAGAATGAGGGACCCCCTCAGACGCTCCCAATTTATCACTTCAAAAATCTTCGAAGAGCTCCCAGAGAAACCCTGGAGCTTACACAGGCCTCCAGAACAAGGCAGGAGTTTTGGTCCTGGACAGATAACCTTGTCAGAGCATCAGAGACACAGGCACCATGTTGGGTATGAGCAAGTCCCTCTTGACCACCCTCTCCCCTCATTTTATGAACAGAGAAAGTAGCTCTCATGTCCGGAGAGACTACCAAGAAGCCCTGGGCATGTGTTTTGACTCAGAAAGTCCTAGAAGAGTAGACAGAAAGGTCACCATGTTATTTTAAACCCAAACTTGATACTTGGATGTATTCATGGCCTGGCATATAAGAGCTGAGAAATACCTCCCCACTCCACTTGTCACAGCTCAAGTCCTCACCCATGTATCAGTTTGAGGTTTGGGCTCTAGGTTTTGAGATAGAATGAAGGATCCAAAGAGTTCCCAAGAAGATGGAAAGCTATGATACATAAAGAAAGGATGAAGATTAAGCCTATGCATTCAAAGTTCTTGTGACCCATGGAAAAAATAAAAATAAAACCCAAGCAGAATGCTGAAATGCATTGTGATTCCTAAGCTTGGGAAGAAAAAGCCACAGGATGATAAAATCTCTGTGTTTAAGTAAAAGAAGGAGACTGGTTATCTGAAGAGTGCTGATCTGTTTTCTATTATCAGCTAATTCCATGATTTTATTGCCACTCTCTCCTGAGTTTCTATCATGGGCAGTGTAGGCATTGAATCAGAGAATCTTCTATGGGAAAACTCAGAGTTCAATTCAGGGGAGTGATGCCGAGGGACAGAGTTATCTCCATGGCTCATGCAAACAAGGGCCTCTCAGGTATTAGTGGTACTTTTTAAGCCTACCCAGTGACAACACATGGTGGAGAATCAGGGTTCCATTCTAGAGAGGAGGCTTGAAAGACATGTTGGCTAAGAGAAAAGTAAGGAAATACATCATCTCCAGGTTACTTAATAATATAATTTGGCTGTGTCCCCATTCTAATCTCATCTTGAATTCCCATGTGTTGTGGGAGGGACCCGGTGGGAGGTAATTGAATCATGGGGGCAAATATTTCCCGTGCTGTTCTTGTGATAGTGAATAGGTCTCATGAGATCGGATGGTTTCATAAAGAGGAGTTTCTCTGCACAAGCTTTCTCTCTTAGTCTGCTGCCATCCGTGTAAGAAATGATGTGCTCCTCCTGGCCTTCTGCCATTATTGTGAGTCCTCCCCAGCCATGTGGCACTGTAAGTCCATTAAACCTCTTTCTTTTGTAAATTGTCCATTCTTGGGTATGTCTTTATCAGCAGCATGAAAACAGACTAATACAGTAAATTTTTGACAGTAGAGTGGGGCACTGCTGAAAAGATACCCAAAAATGTGGAAATGGACTTTGGAACTGGGCAATGGGGAGAGGTTGGAACAGTTTGGAGGGCTCAGAAGAAGACAGGAAAATGTGGGAAAGTTTGGAACCTCCTAGAGGCTTATCGAATGGCTTTGACCAAAATGCTGATAACGATATGACAATGAAATCCAGGCTGAGGTGGTCTCAGATGGAGAGGAGGGACTTGTTGGGAACTGGAGCAAAGGTGACTCTTGTTATGTTTTAGCAAAGCGACTGGTAGCATTTTGCCCCTGCCCTAGAGATTTGTGAAACTTTGAACTTGAGAGTATCTGGCAGAAGAAATTTCTTATTTTTTTTCTTTCTTTCTTTCTTTCTTTTTCTTTTTTTTTTTTTTTGATACCAAGTCTTGCTCTGTTGCCAGGCTGGAGTGCAGTGGTGTGATCTTGGCTCACTGCAACCTTAGGCGGAAGAAATTTCTAAGCAGCAAAGCATTCAAGAGGTGACTTGGGTGCTGTTAAAGGCATTGAGTTTTAAAAGGGAATCAGAGCATAAAAGTTCAGAAAATTTGCAACCTGACAATGTGATAGAAAAGAAAATCCCATTTTTCCGAGGAGAAATTCATGCTGGCTGCAGAAATTTGCATAAGTAATGAGAAGCTGAATGTTAATCCCCAAGACAATGGGGAAATGTCTCCAGGGCATGTCAGAGGTCTTCACAGCAGCACCTCCCATCACAGGCCCGGAGGCCTAGGAGGAAAAAGTGGGTTTGTAGGCTGGGCCCAGTGTCTCCTGCTGTGTGCAGCCTAAGGACTTGGTGCCCTATGTCCCAGCTGCTCCAGCTATGGCTGAAAGGGGCCAACATAGAGCTCAGCCCATGGCTTCAGAGTGCAATCCCCAGCCCTTGGCAGCTTCCATGTGGTGTTGAGCCTGTGAGTGCACAGAAGTCAAGAATTGGGGTTTGGGAACCTCCACCTAGATTTCAGAAGATGTATGGAAATCCCTGGATGCTCAGGCAGAAGTTTGCTGCAGGGGTGGGACCCCCATGGAGAATCTCTGGTAGGGCAGTGCAGAAGGGAGATGTGGGGTCAGAGCCCCCATACAGAGTCCCCACTGGGGCTGTAAGAGGGCTACCGTCCTCCAGACCCCAGAATGGTATATCCACCAATAGCTTGCACCATTTGCCTGGAAAAGCTGCAGTCACTCAACGCCAGCCCATGAAAGCAGCCAGGAGGGAGGCTGTACCCTGCAAAGCCACAGGGGTGGAGCTGCCCAAGACCATGGGAACCCACCTCTTGCATTGGCATGACCTGGGTTTGAGACATGGAGTCAAAGGAGATCATTTTGGAGTTTTAAGATTTGACTGCCCTGCTGGATTTCAGACTTGCATGGGTACTGTAGCCTCTTTGTTTTGGCCAATCTCTCCCATTTGGAATGGGTGTATTTACCCAATGCCTGTATCCCCATTGTATTTAGGAAGTAACTAACTCATTTTTGATTTTACAGACTGATAGGTGGAAGGGACTTGCCTTCCCTCAGATGAGACTTTGTAGACTTTTGAGTTAATGCTAAAATGAGTTAAGACTTTGGGGGACTGTTAGGAAGGCATGATTGGTTTTGAAATGTGAGGACATGAGATTTGGGATGCACCAGGGGCAGAATGATATGGTTTGTCTGTGTCCCCACCCAAATCTCATCTTGAATCCCCACGGGTTGTGGGAGGAACCCCGTGGGAGGTAACTGAATCATGGGGGGAAGTATTTACCATGCTGTTCTCGTGATAGTGAACAAGTCTCATGACATCTGATGGTTTTATAAAGAGGAGTTCCCTTACACAAGCTCTCTGTCTTTGCCTGCTACCATCCATGTAAGATGTGACTTGCTCCTCCTTGCCTTCCACCATGATTGTGAGTCCTCCCTAGCCATGAGGAAGTATAAGTCCATTAAACCTCTTTCTTTTGTAAATTGCCCAGTCTCGGGTATGTCTTTATCAGCAGTGTGAAAATGGACTAATACACTTAAATATTGAATAAAGGCTATGAAAGAAAGAGTAGGGTTTTCTTGGGGGATCTTAAGGATGATACCCACTTTCCTTGTTTAAGAATCCTCTTGCCTGGGGATGAAGGGCTCCACTTATTTTTAGGTGTCTACAGTGTAATAGAACTCTGAGGACAGAAATCCAACTCTGATTAGCTTTGGCAAAGGGGCAGATATTTGAGGCTCACATAACCAGTCTCCAAGGGGGTAGGGATGTGGTTGATCTGGGGACATCTAGAACCAGGGAGTGGCATGCCACTAGCACTCTGTCTCACCTCTCCCTTTCTCTATGTGTTGGCATCAGATTTTTGTTTTTATTTTTCACACACTGCCTTTATGTCTCAATCTTTACTATCAAAGAGGAGCTGCATCTCTTTCCTTAGTTGCATGCCAAAACATTCCAGAGAACAGCTGTGTATTAGTCAGGATTCTCTTAGAGGGACAGAACTAATAGGAAATATATATATATATGTATAAATATATATATGTATGTGTGTGTATGTGTATATATATATATATATATATATATATATATATATATATATATGAGTTTAAGCAAGCAAATTAAAGGGGGGGTTATTAAGTATTAACTTACCCAATCACAAGGTCCCATGATAGGCTACAAGCTGAGGAGCAAGGAGAGCCAGTCCGAGTCCCAAAAGTGAAGAACTTGGAGTCCGATGTTCAAGGGCAGGAAGCATCCAGGACGGGAGAAAGATGTAGGCTGGGAGGCTCAGCCCATCTCTCCTTTTCATGTTTTTCTGTCTGCTTTATATTCTCTGGAAGCTGGTTAGATTGTGCCCACCAGATTGAGGGTGGATCTGCCTTCCCCAGCCCACTGACTCAAATGTTAATCTCCTTTGGCAACACCCACATAGACACACCCAGGATTAATATTTTGTATCCCTCAGTCCAATCAAGTTGACACTCAGTATTAACCATCACAAGCTGGGTCAAGTGTGCACCTCTGAGGGCAGGTGGCCAGGGCCCTCACTAGAACCATGTGGCTGGAGCGGACAGAGAAGCAGATCCCAGCAAGAAGGACTGAGCAGACACAGCCACAATGTCCAGCATGGCACTGCACAAGATGCCAAATTCTATGTATGAGGTGGGTCATGGAGCTGGGGGAGAAAAAAAGAAGAGAAATAGATCTTGAGAGTAGGGGTGGAGTAGGGTCAGGAGAGGGGTCATCCTGCAGCATAAGCAAGTGAATTGAAAGGACATTCAGTTCTGCTCTTGAACAAGGATGCCTCAGGCCATATACATTTCTTGCCAGTTTCCTCTCAAGCTTAACTAATAACTTTTCCTCCTTAAATTCTGTCTGAGCTAGTTGGCAAAGTGAAATAACATTTTCTGTTTATTTGTGCTTGGTATTGCTGGAAAGATTCCTATGAAGTTGTGGAGTTTTTTTTTTTCCCCTCATCATTTTGTTTGTAAATTTCTACTCAACATAAGCCATTTCTTAATAGGCTACCTGGGAACTGTGACATGTACTAGTACTGGTCAGTAGTAGCTACATCTTTCTACTTGGTGGAATCTGCCTTCCAGCTATGAACTCTAGCTGTGAGTCTGATGGAAGCTGATATGGTTTGGCGGTGTCCCCACCCAAATCTCATCTTGAATTGTAGCTCCCATAATTCCCATCTGTCATGGGAGGGACTTGGTGGGAGGTAACTGAATCACGGGGGCAGATCTTTCCTGTGCTGTTCTCATGGTAGTGAATAAGTCTCATGAGATCTGATGGTTTTATGAAGGCAGTTCCCCTGCACATGCTCTTTCTTGCCCGCTGCCATGTAAGCCGTGCCTTTGCTTCTTTTTTCCTTCTGCCATGATGAGGCCTCCCCAGCTGTGTGGAACTGTGAGTCTATTAAAGCTCTTTCCTTAATAAATTACCCAGTCTTAGATGTGTCTTTATTAGCAGTGTGAGAACAGACTAATATAGAAGCATACTTGCAGTTGAAGGTGGACAGAACAACAGGATCTTAGCTTTCCCAGAATGGGTCACCAGCCTGACAGTGGTGGTAACAAGGACATGCAGTGGAGATGATCAGGACTTTGGAGCCAGAAAGACTAGGATTTAGATCCAGGCTGTAAAATGAATAAGGACTGTTATGGAGGATGGGGCACACTGCCCAGATGCCCCTTCTTGATCATGATATTCATTGCCCCAGCTGTTGAGGGTATTGACTGGTGATGGCTTAAAACTGAGGCCTTTCCTGGGTGCTGCCGTGGCTGAGGGACCTACCTCACCCAAGGTTACACACGTCCCCAGAGTGCCTGAGCTGATTCAAGGACTCAAAGGCTCAACAGTCTCATCTCAGGTCAGGGCAATTCTGAAGTTATCCCAGCTCTAGAGCTTCTGTGGGACCTGCTGTGACCTTTGTTGTGACTGCACAGGTGTTCAGCCTCTCTCTCTGCCCCATCCTGTTTTTGTTTTTGTTTTTTACAGTGTTGTTTTAGAGAGCATTCCCAATAAACCTCCTACATGCAAATGTTCATCTCAGCATCTAAGACAGGTAAATTCTACATTTACCTTGTAGGATTTTTTCTACCAGGATTAAAGTCAATGTATGTATTAAGCAAATGCTCATTGTAATGCTTTAAAAGCCATGATCTACATAGTTCAGTCCTAGAATTAAGCCAGAATTAAAATACAGTATATTCAAACAGAATAATTCCAAAATAACTTCAGTTCTTTACTTATCCTATTAGGAGCAAGACTCTTGCTTGTAAGTTACAAGAAAGCCAAGTAAGACTTGTTTAAGGAAAACACAGGCTTATCTACCTATACATGTGGTTGGTGGGGACCATTCATGAACCTATAGGGTCCAGGGGTAGACTTTCATGCACATCTGGATCCAGGGGACATTAGCTATAGGCAGTCATCTAGAGGCTCAACTAGAACACCAGCATATCTGGGTCTTTTCCTTCTCCATGCAATGGCAGCGCTTCTTCTTCCCCTTGTGCTCTGTCAGCAGGCTAGCTAGACTTCTGGTATGGTCACTCGGGACTCCTAAAAGTGCAATAGTCACTGCTGTGTTATGATATGCAGCTTCCTGTTGTGTGCCATGCCATCTCAATGTTTGGTTCAAAAATCCCAGAATGTCACTCTAACACCTCCTGAATTAGGGTTGGGTTCTCAAGAAAAATCCCCGAATGTCCCTCTAACACCTTCTGAATTAGGATTCTTAAGAGAAACAGGACCAATAGGGTGTGTGTGTGTGTGTGTGTGTGTTGCAAGGAATTGGCTCACATGATTAGGCAAGCTGAAAAGTTTCAAGATCTGCAGTCAGCAAGCTGGAGACCCAGGAGAGACAATGCTGTAGTTCCAGTTTGAGCCCAAAGGCCTGAGATCCAGGAGAGTCAAATTACGTAAGTTACAATTTGAACATCAGCAGGCTTGAGACCCAAGAGCCAGTGTTTCAGTTCAAGCTCAACGGCAGGAAAAGACCAATATCCCAGCTGGAACACTCAGGCAGAAGGAGTTCCCTCTTACTTGGCCTTTTTGTTTTAGTCAGGTCTTCACATCTTCTATTGATTACATCAAATCATGGGCCAGAACAACTACACAGAAAACCAATGAGGAAATAGCAGACTTGAACTACACTATCATCTGTTAGATATAACATACATCTATAGAACACTTAACAACAGCAGAATATATTATTCTCAAGTATACATGGAACATTCTTCAGGATAAATCATTCACTAGATCGTAAGACAACCCTCAATAAGTGTAAAAGAACTGAAATCAAACAAAGTACGTTCTCCACAGGGCAGCCCTGTGGGACTACACAGAACTACACAAGAGTGAGAATACCAGGTGTTCACTGGGGCTCATCATTAGGGACCAGCTCCCAAAGGCTACCTGGACAAAATCTACTTACAGACAAAAAGCAAACAGTTTTGGGCATGTCGCTGGCTGCTCCCTGAAACTCCTTTGGTTTTCCATGTTCAGGCTTTGGATCTTGGTAAATACAAAAGTTCTTTGGAGGACTAACACACCAAACTTGTATCAGTCACTTATATCTTTGTAAAACCAAAGATCTTCAATGATGTGATAAAGGAAGGATATACATCAAAGCCCTGGGACTCAAGATGGGAATAAAGGAGCTTTACTGAAAGATGCGTGGGGCAGGCTGGATGGCAAAATCAGATTCAGAAACTGACCTCACTCACTTTTATAGTTTCCATAGTGCTAGGCCTGCTTAGGTCCTTCATAGGTAGTAATAGCCAAGTTTCTCTCCTTCGGGGCATCTTTAATAGGAATGTCAGCCCAAGTCCAAAGCCATGCAGCTACAATAGCACAATTTTGGACAGGTACCAAAATTGGGAAGGAATGGGGTTGGGGGCATTAGAGCCTTCCTAGAGCCACCAAAATCACAAACTAACTGCAGTCTGTTGATAGCCTTTTAATGGACATCAAGATATACTTACTAGAGCAAAGGTTCTGTCCTTTTCCCTTAAGATGATGCCTCTCTTAGGGATTGGAGAGCAATCCTAATTTACAAATCAGTTTTTGGAAACTGGTTTGTAAATATTGACATCATAGTTAGTTTGACCTCAGTAACCCAAAGCTACCAACAATGGCAGAAGAGCCAAAGGGTTCAGCGTGATTGGCCAGTCTGATCGTTTTTCTCTTTGATTTCAGAAGGCAATGATTCCTCAAGTGTGCTTGGAATGGAAATTATAAACAAGTCATTGCTTTCTTCTTATGTGGAGGTCTGCCATGTGAGCCGCATATTTCAAGTCTTACCTGCACCTAGCCTTTGGCCTGAAATGTGTCATTGAATCAATTAATGCTTTTAAATGGCTCACTTTACTCCATTTTTCTGCATACATTCAGTTACCTAATTCTGTTAGCAAAGGCTATTGATGGGTCTAAGAAAAACTGAAGGCCTTCATCTCTGGCAAAGATTCGTAATTTGTGATGTTGGTGGTTACTGCACCCAAAGTTTCCAACTTAATTGGGAACAGTGGGAAGTAATTTAGTTGTGACTGTTTCTCTAGCTGTTAATTTAGCTGATTTTCATTCTATTAAGGCTTTAAGGGAAACAATTCCAAACTAATTAGCCAGAACTTCCATTTGGTAGTACAGTAGTCAGTTATAGGTAGGACATGCTGGGTGTTTCACTTGTCCAGGCTTCTTATGGTAAATTCTGCAAGGGTGCCCACCCTCAGCTCTGGATACATTTGGCATCTAGAGACAGATCTTCGAAAATGCTGGTGTTTATAATTAAAACCAGAGTCTGTTCGGTGACCAAACACTAAAACTGCTTGAGTTTTGTTTTTCTAGCTGAATTTCCAATGACAAAATATCACAGGCGTTTTGTTTATTGGCTCTTCCCAGGAGAACTGCTGCTAAGATAATATCTAAAGCTTACAACATTGTTTAAAAAGAGAAGTAAGCATTGTAACTTCTCTTTAAAAAAGATAAAGCAAATACTTTCCACTTCATTATTTTATTAAGACTTTAGTGATTTTGAAAATCTGATTTTTGTCTGCTAATGCTTGTGAACTAACTGTGGTTTTTCTAAGTTTTCCACAGGACTGTTCAAGCAGATGAGGCACCCCCATGTTCTGAGATCTTTACAAGGCACAGAGAATGGTCCAGCTCACTTAGTCATCTTCCAAAGCCAGGAAGGGGGCTCAGCCCAGTTCTGCAGGAACAGACCTAAGCACCAATGATCCCTGCGTCAGGTAGTTCTAGCAGCTGTCTTTCCTTCTTGCACAGGTAATTCTATGCTACACAGCCCCAAAACAAAAGCTTCCTCAGTGGGGTCATGGTAAAAAAGACTTTTTTTTTTTTAAGACAGAGTCTTGTGCTGTCTCCCAGGTTGGAGTACAGTGGCAAGATCTTGGCTCACTGCAACCTCCACCTCCTGGGTTCAAGCAATTCTCCTGCCTCAGCCTCCTGAGTAGCTGGGATTAGAGGTGCCCGCCACCACACCCAGCTAATTTTTGTATTTTTAGTTGAGACAGGGTTTCACCATGTTGGCCAGGTTGGTCTCAAACTCCTGACCTCAAGTGACCTGCCCACCTTGGCTTCCCAAAGTGCTGGGATTACAGCCAATGTGCCCAGCCCCAGACCGTCAATTTTAAGCTGCAAATTTGGTTTGGCAAATTTGGCCAAAATGAGAGAAATCTGATTGCATTTCTCCCACCTGCACCATCAGCCACTCCCTTTGCAGCTGAGTCTGGTAGGTGCTTCTCCTTCCCTGCCAAGGACACACTCCACTGCTTCCTAATTGCCTGAGTTTTCAGTGGCAGCTTAGATGTTGGCCAGGCTTTAATCAGCCTGGGAAACAGAGTCCTCTGTCAGCACATTTGCCACTGAGGCCTGATGGGAATGTGTGTGACTACACAGCAACAAAACGGATTCACCAGCCACATGGGGAAACCAGCCTCATTACTTCAGAGTCACGTCACGTGGTCTCCTTGGGCCAGCAACCGCTCTTCTTAATTCCTGCTTTCATCAGGCCATTTGTCTTAAACTACATGCTTGTCTCATCTCAAAATTCATTGTTTAGCTTACATACAGTGGAGACCTGAGGATTAACACATCACGGCACTGAGGGGAAATGACTTGTTCTCATTCACTCATTATTCAGCAACCATTTATGAATGTCTGTTCAGCCATTAGATAGTCTAGATTTTCCAAGATAGCTCTGTTTAAGGAAATTTTGAGGCTGGGTGTGGTGGCTCACGCCTGTAATCCTAGCAGTTTGGGAGGCAAAGGCGGGCAGATTGCCAGGAGTTCCAGACCAGCCTAGGTAACATGGTGAAACCCCGTTTCTACTAAAACACAAAAAATTAGCTGGGCATGGTGGCGCATGCCTGTAATCCCAGCTACTCAGGAGGCTGAGGCACAAGAATCGTTTGGACCCAGGAGGCAGAGGTTGCAGTGATAATCAACCTCAGCTATCACAGCTGAGATAGCGCCACTGCACTCTAGCCTGGGCGACAGAGTGAGACTGTCTCCAAAAAATAAAATAAATTTTGATATTTTACATAAAAGCAATTTATTAACTATACATTAAATATGTTCTTAATACTTGAGGTGTAGCATCACGATTCTGAGAAAATGCTTATCACAACTGAATGACAGAATCCATAAACAGAGCCAAACTGAGTCTTAAGACAAGAAATGCCCTTCCAAAAATGTAACCTTACACCTTCTCTAGGGGAGAAGAGTTCCTGGTGAATAAAAACACAGGGTCCATTCTGTGATATGAAACAGGACTTTGCAAAGTGTTTTCACGGATAGCTCATTTCTAGTTTTTAAAGCTGCCCCTTGTTTGGAAACAACAGCCACTTCTTGCAGAAAGAAGACACATGTGACTGTGTTTATATCTCTGAAGACAGAGGCAGGATTAAGGTAGTCTGCAAAATCTGACTTTTTACAGGAAGAATAACTCTTATAAATACACAAAATAGGAAAACAAGGGGAGAGGTTGCATGACGTGCCCCAAATTTGCGATTTGACTTGCTGTATATTAGTATCTTTGTTAGGAGCAAAGATGGATAAGCCGTAATTCCTGCTTCTAATGTGTTCACTGTAGCAGGGGACAGGAGGTGTATATACCAACCGTTCTAATAGGAGTTGGAAAGGGACAAGTGTTACAAGGAAGAAAACACGGGCACTGCCGAGAAGGACATTACCTTCTGCCGGAAAGGCCACTTAGAGGAAGCATTTCAGCCAGTGTTGAAGGACCCAAAAGCTTTGCAATAGCAGAGATGTGTGGTCAGGTGTTGAAGGCAGACAAAATGTGTGAGCAAAAATCTGCCAAGAAGGGTAATAGAGTCCAGGTCGTGGGAGGACAGTACAGTGAGATGAAGAGGGAGTGACAAATTGATCAATACATCTCAGGTTAGCGAACCTGGACATCATTTAGCAAGCAGTGGGGGAAGGGTAAACCTGAAAGTTATTAAGGTTGGGAGTCGGGGGTGGGGCATGATCGGAGACGCTAATACGGAGGTCTTGAGTAGAATTGGGAGAGACGGGAGATACAGGGAGGACAAGAGGAATGCAGGGGACTGAGAAGGCAGACGAGACCTTCCACAGTGTGCAGGAAATGGTCAGGCCCCCTGTGCAGGAGGAAGAGGACTGTTGATGGAAACCTGTGGCCACAGAGGCTTCTGGCATCTCACAAAGCCTTTGGTGTCAGTCTGGCAAAACACTCTGGCCGGGAACAAGGGATGCTGGGTGAGTGAGAGCAGTGCCCCTCAAACCTTAATGTATGCACAAACCACTTGAGGATTTTGTAAAAATGTGGATTCTGCATCTGTAGGTCTGGGTGGGGCCTGAGAGAGTGTACACATTTTCAACAACTTCCAGGTGAAGCTCATGCTGCCGGTCCAGGGACCACCCTTTGAGTAGCAAGGAGCTAGAACTACTCACATTTGCTAATTTTAGGCAGTGATTTATAACAGTTGGAAGATCTGTGAGACAGTGACCCAATTGCGTCTAAGTGTTCTTATTTCTTTAAATCTCACTCTAAATGTAGCAGGAAGCTGGCACATGATTAAACTTGCATTTGTTTCTTAGATTCTAATTTGACTCATGGAAACTGCGGTCCTCTCCCCAGGAGGGTGTGTGTGGACAGCCTTTCTGGGTGTAGAAGTTGTAAGCAACCCCTCAGGACAATCTGCTTCCCCATGTATGGGGGAGTGGGAGGATGCCAAAAAGGGGAAAGAGTCCCAGAAGCCTCCCTTCTGTATTAGGGGGCCTATAGGAGCAGCTTCGGGACCCTGCAGAAGTCAAGGAAGGAAGAATACTCATCCAGAAGTGATGGATCCTCGAGCCCATCCTGACTCAGTGTTTGGAGTCAGTTTGCAGCCTGGAAGAGGCTGGGGATTACCTCGAGGTAATAGTCTATGGTGGGAGGCTGATGACCAAAATGGCAGCAGGAAAGCAGGAATGTCACGTTTGGGGCGGGCACTTGCAGGCTGATGGCATCTAGAGCTGCTCTTCACAGCTCCAAAAAGTCCTGCCAGCTTGTTCCCTGTTACTCTATGGGGCCCTTTATTTCTGGGAGACCAGCTGTATCTTCACATCAGCCCTCCTGGAGCAGAGGCCCCTGGCCTTTGTGTGAGTCAAGAGGGCTGGCTTTGAGCTTCTCTTGGAGCTGGATAAGGGGTGTGCATGCCCGTGAATGTATTTTGAGTTGTCTACTTATAGGATAACCGTTTGTTCCTCTTCATCATCTTAGGCCATATTTCTCTTAATGATCTACTTGGACCATTTTGGGGTCATCCTATTTTCCTCTCCTGGGATGGCCATGCCAGGCTGCTTATTTGCATAATGTGGCCCTGGCCCCTTCTAACCTCACTTCTGAGGTCAGATTTCCAGCTCGACCCAGTAAGCCTGGAGGACCAGGCACTGCCCTGGACAGTGAGGCTCAAGGCTCCCGTGCAGAACCCATGCCCAAGCAATCATCAATTATTCTAATAATTAGAGGTGTGGTGTAACATGTGGGGGCTCTGGACTTAAACAGCAAGGGTTCAAATCCTGGCTCTGCCAAATAGTTACATGGCCTGCTTCTCAAGGACCTGCACTTTGGGGCCAGCCTAACCGGGATCTCTATTCTGAATCCTCGCCTTCTCCTTGTGAGACCTTGGGCAGGTCACACGATCACTCTTGAGCATAGGTTTCCTCGGCCATAAAGCAGAGATGATGACACTCTCTCCCTCATAGGGTTGTGGTAAGAATTGAGTTATGGAATGGGTGGGAAGCATCTCAAACTGTGTGTGGCGCAGGGGAAGCACCCAATAAATAGTAGCTATTACCATGAAATGATACTTAGTTAATAAGTAAGGAGTTGTAGTTGTGGGTTTTATTAGAAACAAAGTAGGTACGTCTGCTTCTTAGTCCCCATCCCTCTGGGAAGCCAGACCACGAGCTCGTAAATGCTTAGCATGGCGTCCACCTGGTGGCCGCATCCCCAAATCTCTCATCAAAAACCTGGAGGAAATGAAAAGGCTTGTAATTTATAAATCAAGGCTTCTCATGGGGGCCAGGGGAGGAGAGGGGAGGGCAAGCACACACTCTGGGGCCTTGGTAGGGGCCTCACAGGCAGCTCGAAAACAAAGCGGCACTTTGTCCTGGGGCCCGGCTTTGCTTTTTGTCATAATATTTAATTAATTTTGAAATTTCACATAACATTAAAGTGTGAGATATTTACAGCTGCTAAAGAAGGGAACATAGGTTAAAAAGGTTGAGAAATCATCTATAACCTATAAAACACAGCAAAGCCCCCAGGAATGTGATAGGTACAGGGAGGCATTGGGCTCAGCACGTTCTGCCCCCTCTGCCCAGTGCCCACCTATCCCCAGGGTGGCAGGGGGTGGTGGAGCCCACGCAGTCCAGCAAGCTGCCTAATTGGAAAAAGCTGGCACTTCTGTGTTCTGGTCATTTCCTTTTGCTTTGTAATGCAAATGAGTGAAACTTGAAAAAATGTTCTTTAAAAACCGTTTGAAACATGATGCCCAGTCATCCTTGGGTTTTCATTATTCTTCCACTTATGCCTTAGGATGTGGGGCATACATCCTTTATTCACCCTGAGAAGCCCATTTGCCACCCTGGCTAAATACAACCCCTTCATAACTCTTTTATTCACTCTTTTAATTTTTTTATACCACAGGCTTAATAAAATTTAAAAAGTCAATAAAAGTGAAAAAATATACTTGCAGGAGAATGCACAAGTATATGGCTTTTTGAATTGTTGCAACGTGAATTTGACCAATCACAAAACAGAATTACCACCGCCACCCCCCCAGAGGGTGAGCACAGTCCTGGCTTAGAATGGCACAGAATCGCTTTGCTTGATTTTGAGCTTTATGTTGTAAATGGAATCTCACAGGATGTACTGTGTTGTACAGGATGTATGATGTTAGGGACACACATCATCCATGTTGCTGGGTGTTGTTATAGACCCTTCATTCTTGTTGTATAGTGTCCATGGTGTGGTCCTCCATGGTTGGATATGTACCCAGTGGAGGTGCGCATGTGTCCCCTGACAGGATCGGTCCCAGGGATTGGCATGTGGCCTAGGTGGGCCCACTGGGATTTCCCAAATTGGAAGGGAAATTGGATAGGTATCTCTCCTCCTCATGAGAAAGGGTATATCATAGCAGATTGGAGTCAGGCCATCTGTGTCCAATCCTGGCTGTGTCACTTACTAGGTAGTGGGATCTGGTATGAGTTATTACACCTCTCTGTTTCCTGTGTTAATTTCCTCTTCTGTAAAAGGAGATAATAACAGCATCTACTCCATAGGGTGATTTCAAAGATTAAATGAGTGCGTAGAACTGTGCCAGGCACGAATTAAGTGCTGATAAGTGGACTTTTATTCCTGGATGGTGAACTGTGAAGGTGTGAGGCTGGGCTGTGGTGGTCACTGAGCTGCTTGCAGTAAGAACGTTGATTTCCCTGAGGTTCCCTCTGCACCCTGTTGTCTGTCATGCCTCTAAGCCTTTGCACATGCTCTTCCCTCTGCCCAGCTTATCAGCTTCCCTTTTATTCCCACAGAAAATTTCCATTCCTCTTTCCTGTCTCAGCTCAAAGGGATGGACCAGTCCTGCAGGCATCCTTCCCACATTCTCCCAAGCAAATGCTATCCCCATCCCTGCTTTCATTGTTGTGCCACAGCAGTTCTCAAAGTATGATCTACAAACCCCTTTTAAAATAAAATTTTAAATAAAAATTTAAAAATTAATAAAAGTAAAAAATATACTGCAGAGAAGTGAACAAGTGTATGGCTTTTTGAATTGTTGCAAAGTGAATTCAACCAATCACAAAGCAGAACATTACCACTACCACCCCTGGGAGGGTGAGCACAACCCTAAGAGGTGATTTGCCTTGTTCACTGTGTTGACATTTGCACTGATGATGCAAAACCATTGCTGAATGAATGTAACGGCATTTGCATAAATCAAGTGGCACCTGGCCGGGTGCGGTGGCTCACGCCTGTAATCCCAGCACTTTGGGAGGCCAAGGTGGGTGGATCGCCTGAAGTTAGGATGTCCGGAATTTATTCCTTCTGGCGGGTTCTTGGTCTTGCTGACTTCAAGAATGAAGCCGCGGACCCTCGCAGTGAGCGTTACAGCTCTTAAAGGTGGTGTGGACCCAAAGAGTGAGCAGTAGCAAGATTTATTGTGAATAGCGAAAGAACAAAGCTTCCACAGCATGGAAGGGGACCCGAGAGGGTTGCTGCTGCTGGCTTGGGTGGCCAGCTTTTTTTCCCTTATTTGGCCCCACCCACGTCCTGCTAATTGGTCCATTTTACAGAGTGCTGATTAGTGTATTTACAGTCCTTTAGCTAGACACAGAGTGCTGATTGGTGGGTTTTTACAGAGTGCTAATTAGTGGGTTTACAATCCTTTAGCTAGAAACAGAGCGCTGATTGGTATGTTTTTACAGAGTGCTGATTGGTGCTTTTACAATCCTTTAGCTAGACAGAAAAGTTCTCCAAGTCTCCACTCGACCCAGGAAGTCCAGCTGGCTTCACCTCTCATTAGGACTTTGAGACCAGCCTGGCCAACATGGCAAGACCCTGTCTCTACTAAAAATACAAAACTTAGCCGGGCGAGGTGGCAGGCATCCATAATCCCAGCTACTTAGGAGGCTGAGGCAGGAGAATCGCATGAACCCGGGAGGCAGAGGTTGCAGTGAGCCAAGATTGTGCCATTGCACTCCAGCCTGGGTGACAGCATTAAGACTCTGTCTCAAAAAAAAAAAAAAAAAAAAAAAAAAAAATCAAATGGCACCAAACTGTACTACTAGTCATTGGACTTTCATCATCATGTACTCATTGTAAAGAAAGGAAAAAGAAAAGCCAGTTTCGTTTAAGAATGTCTTTGATGAGGCAGTAAAAATTGTTAAATTTTGACCCTTGAGTGCATGTACATGTATTTTTAAATATTCTGTGTAATGGAATAGGAATTATGCATGAAACATTTCCGTATACTGAAGTAGGATGGATGTCTCAGGTAAAAACACCTGTGTGAATGAGTTACAAGCTGAATTAGCTGCCTTTTCTGTGGGACACCATTTTTACTTGAAGGAAGAAGTGACAGACTATAGTTATTCAGACTTGGATATCTAGCAGAGATTTCCTCAAAAATGAATAAAGAGAGCCTGTCACATCAAGAAAAATAATTGTCAGTACTTGGTGCCAAAGATCAAAGTAGAACTTTCAAATACCAATTAAAATTTTAGAAAATATATAAATGCCACCATGAGTTTAAAAGTGTCCTGTACTTAAAAACTTTTCTGGTGAGATACATGGAGATATTCATGAATGGGACCGAGCCAGAATCTTACCTTGCACTCTTTAAAATAATTAATTAAGGAGACAAATAATAATTGTATATATTTATGGGATACAATGTGGTTTTGATATGTACATTTCTACATTGCAGAAAGATTAAATTAACCTAATTAACACAGCCATCACCTCACCTGCTTATTCTTTTGTGGTGAGAATGTTTAAAATCTACTCTTTTAACAATTTTGAAATATACAATATATTATTATGGATTATGGTCACCTCACTGTGCAAGATCAGATCTTATTCTTCCTAACTGAAACTTTGTATCCTTTGACTAACATCTCCCCTTTCCTCAACCCTGCCCAGCCTCACTGCCTCTGGTAGCTGCCATTCTGTTTCTAACAACTTGTTTAGACTCCACAGATAAGTGAGATCATTTGGCATTTATCTTTTTGTGCCTGGCTCATTTTGCTTAGCATAATGGTCTCCAGGTTTATCTATGTTACCATGAATGACAGAATTTCCTCCTTTTTAAGGCCAGATAGTATTCTATCATGTGTATATATAAATTTTCTTTATCCATTTATCTGTTGATAGACAGGTTGTTTTCATATCTTTGCTATTGTGAATGATGCTGAAATGAGCATGAGGATCTATATATCTCTTTGACATACTGATTTCAACTCCTTTGGGTATATACCCAGAGTGAGATTGCTGGATCATATGGTAGTTCTATTTTTAGCTTCTTAAGGAAACTCCATACTGTTTTCCAAAATGGCTACACCAGCTGGATGTGGTAGCTCATGCCTGTAACCCCAGCTACTTAGGAGGCTGAGGTGAGAGGATTGCTTGAGGCCAGGGGTTCGAATCTAGCCTGGGCAACATAGTGAGACCCCCCCATCTCTAGAAATAGATGGATAGATGAATAAATAACCAAAATGGCCATACTAATTTATATTCCTACCAACAGTGTACCAGGGTTCCCTTTTCTCTACATCCCGGCCAACACTTACTTTTTTCTTTTTGATAATAGCCATTTAAACAGGTGTAAGGAAATATTGTGATTTTAATTTGCATTTCCCTGATGATTAGAGATGTTGAGCATTTTTCTTGTTGTTTATCTGTTGGCCATTTGTATATCTTGTTTTGAGAAATGTCGTTCTGATCCTTTGCCATTTTAAAGTTGGTTTTTAAATTTTCTTACTATTTACTTGTTTGAGTTCCTTATACATTTTGTGGGGGTTTTGTTTTGTTTTATTTTTCTTAGAGCCAAGGTCTCTGTCACCCAGGCTGGAGTGCAGTGGTGTGGTCATAGCTCACTGCAGCCTTGACCTCCTGGGCTCAAGCAATCGTCTCACATCAGCCTTCCTAATAGCTGGGACCACAGACACATGCCACCACATGCAGCTGATTTTTTTTAAAACTTTTTGTATAGACAGTCTTGCTATATTGCCCAGGTTGGTCTTGCACTCTTGGCTTCAAGCAATCTTCCTGCCTCAGCCTCCCAAAGTTCTAGGATTACAGGTGTGAGCCACTGCGCCTAACCCCTGAGTTCCTTTTTGGATATTAGCCTCTTATCAGATGTATGGTTGCAAATATTTTCTCCAAATCCATGGGTTGTCTCTTCAGTCTTAATTGTTTCCTTCACTGTGCAGAGGATTTTTTAGTTTGATATCTGTTTGTCTATTTTTGCTTTTGTTGCCTCTGCTTCTGTTATCATATCCAAGAAATCATTACCCAGTTTTGTTCCACTCTTTGTACATACCTTCCCCTCTCCAGGTTGTGGCAGTCCTCCTCCTAATACCAATGCCATACCATCCACGATCTTCCTCCCCTCTAGTTACTATTCTGCACTTCACCCCTCAGACATACTGTGCCACTGTGATTGACAGAAGAATTAACCTGGGGAGGAGCTGGGCTGACTTCCAGGGGAGCAGCCCCTGGACCTTAGCCTTGGGAGGATGACACCTGCTGTTTGGTCAGCCCCTTTGCTTGGGGGTCCAGGAGGGATTTTAATTCCAGTAGTGGGAGGTTAAAGCCAGCCCATGGGAAGAGGCTAGTGCCTTGGAGGCTGACAGGAGAGAATGGTGGGGACAGGCTCCCGTTACAAGCCCTTGTACTCACATCCTTGCTTCTGCCTAGAAGTCCATGTTGGGGCCGGGTGCAGTGGCTCGCGCCTGTAATCCCAGCACTTTGGGAGGCCGAGGCAGGCGGATCATGAGGTCAGGAGATCAAGACCATCCTGGCCAACATGGTGAAACCTTGTCTCTACTAAAAATACAAAAATTAGCCGGGCGCGGTGGCGTGTACCTGTAGTCCCAGCTACTCAGTAGGCTGAGGCAGGGAGAATTGCTTGAACCAGGGAGGTGGAGGTTGCAGTGAGCTGAGATCGCGCCATTGCACTCCAGCCTGGCAACAGAGCAAGACTCCATCACAAAACAAATCAAATCAAAACAAAACAAAGAAGCCCATGTTGGGAAGCAGTTGTGAAAGGGGGAGGGTAACTGGTGTATTCTCTTCCGCTTTTTTAGGAGATGGGCAGGGTTATTGTCCAGCATGTCTTTATTTGAAACTGCAAGTAGGAAGGAAACTTCAGAGTCACCAAAATCTCACATCTTTAGTCTACAGGGAAAAAGACTCTCTTAACCTTCAGTAATCATAGAAAAGCCTTGATATTAAGTATTTATTGGTAACTAATATTATTCTTTGGCAATTATTGTGAAATACCTTTTAAAATCCCTTTTGAAGATTATTTTTCTTAAGACATCAGGATCTCTGATGTATTATTCCTTTTTTGTTTTAAACTTTTTAACATATTATTTTGAAATCTGACACTCAAAAGAAGGTGTGAAAATAGTACAGTGAGTAATTTCCTTTATGTTTGTCACCGAACTTTCCCCAGTGATAATGTCTTACATGATCATAGCACATTATCCAAACCAGGAAACTGGCATTAGTACAATACTATTAACTAAACTATAGACCTTATTTGTTCTATTGCCACAAAGAAACTCTCTTGTGCTACCCCTTTGTAGATGTGTTCCATTAGTCTTTTGTGTGTTTGTGTGTGTGTGTGTGTGTGTGTGTGTATGTGTGTGTGTGTGTGACAGAGTCTCACTCTGTCACCCAGGCTGGAGTGCATGGCACGATCTCAGCTCACTGCAACCTCTGCCTCCCAGGTTCAAGCGATTCTCCTGCCTCAGCCTCCCAAGTAGCTGGAATTACAGGCATGCAAAACCACGCCCGGCTAATTTTTGTATTTTTAGTAGAGACAAGGTTTCACCATGCTGGCCAGGTTGGTCTGGAACTCCTGGCCTCAAGTGATCCATCTGCCTCTGCCTCCCAAAGTGCTGGGATTACAGGTGTGAGCTACCACCCCCGGCCCATTAGTCTTTAAAATACTGTTTTTCCTTATTTGAGTGAAAGTTATACTTTATATAAAGTATATGTGATTAGAATCAATGGAGTCTAGTGTAGTGCCATGCATGTAGCAAATTGTGTGGAATTTAAGGCTGAAGAACTAGAGAGGCCTTCTGCAAATATTGACTTGACAGCCCAGGGGCTGTGTGATTTTAGGCAAGGAATGCAACCTCTCTGAGCTTCAGTTTTATCTGTAAAACACAGTTAATGACTCCCACTTTGTAGAGATGCTGAGCAGATTAGATATGAAGCATATGAAGATCCTGGGACGTCCCAGGTTTCCTGTTCATGTTCAATGTCTTAAGTCAGTTTGCCCAGGAAGCCGACTCTGAGATGGAGAAGTGTATGCAGGTCATTTGTTTGGAAAGTGCTTGCAGGATCAACACCTGTGAGCTGGGAGGTACACAGGATTTGACAGAGGGAGAAGTTGAACTATGATGCAGTTGCCATACAAGGCCTCTGAAGATGCTCCAGGGAGCTGGGATGGCCCTCCAAAATTGTCCAGGCCTCTGTACCCCGGCACCAACCAGCTGTTGTATTGTGGGCTGCTCTTGGGGAGGGACGAAATCTTGAGCAGGTCAGCTCCCTTCAGCTGAGCGCAAGACCTGAAGACACAGAACTGTGAGCCTTCGGCATCTAATGCTCCCGGCAGCTGGAGGCTGGGCGTCTTAGTACTGAACAGGAATCTGGGAGCGAGTCACAGCTGCTACTGCAGTCATTATTACCATGATGGCTTTGAGGAAGGAGGACTCAAATGGGGAGACAATTGATCATAGATTTTTCATCCTCCCCACATGTTAGCCATGTTAAACCCAGGCAACTGAATGGCTTGATAACTCCACAAAAAGCTGTTTCTTTTTCTGTTTTAGGGCATTAGAAGGGATCTATTTACATCTTTAGGAAGAGCTATTTTAGAGGAGGGGGAAAAAAAAGCAATGGGTCTCACTCTTCTTTATAGCTGCTGATGGGAATTTCCTAAATTTCTCTTTGCCAGCTCTATAAAAGAACCCCATCGTGTGCAATCCTCCCCTATATAAGGACTGCCTAGAAATGAGTTCTGAAATCAGACTTTTAATGACTTTTCAAGAAATCCCTTCTCAGACTGCCAAGGACGAGTTGGTATCAGAAATATGCAGTAATTGTGTTTATTTAGTAATAGTTGGACGTCTACCAGAAGGCTCTGAGCTAAGGCCACTGGGGGATACCAAAGAAGAGAGGCTAATCCTCCAACCAGAAGGTTCCATTTTGTGCCTTCTCTCAATACATGGCCAATTTGTGATAGAGTAAATAAGGGAATTTTGAAAGCACCAAATTGAGTACTTAGTAGATGTATCATACCTATGGACTGATTATGATCCTTATGGTTCATATTTAAATTTGATTTGGTGTAATCTATAAACATCATGATGTCATGATCCCTTTTCTAAGGGAAAGATCTTACATGCTAGAGTAAAGCACATCTCTTCTGTGCAACATCATGAGTTTTGGAATGGAATAAGTTTTCATGAGTTTTCCTGATTTGTTAGTCTCTCTGGAGCAAATTCCTTTAGCCAGTTATTCAAGCAACTATGTGCCTTTATTTGTTTATAAGATACAGTCCACAGCACATACTAATAGTGAAATGATAACATCCAAGAATTTTCAGCCGGCCACAGTGGCTCATGCCTGTAATTCCAGCACTTTGGGAGGCTGCAACGGAAGGATCATTTGACCAGGAGTTTGAAACCAGCCTGGGCAACATAGCGAAACCTCGTCTCTACAAAAAATTTAAAAAGTAGCTGGGCATTGGGGCACACACCTACAGTCCCAGCTACTTGGGAGACTGAGGCAGGAGGATCATTTGAGCCCAGGAGTTTGAGGCTGTACTCAGCTATGATCATACAACTGCACAGTAGCCTAGGTGACAGAGCAAGACCCTGTTTCTAAGAAAAGGGGAGGGGGTGCATTTTTCTGCCAGAAGGGTTGATAAACACTTTTTGTCTTTCTCTAACATTCATGCTGGGTATTATAGGGTAGATGTCTTCATTAGCACATAGTGTCGTATCTGTGACAAAGGTATAAGACCTCATGCTGCAGGTCACTGTCTACATCTCTCCCTCTGTCTGCCTCTCTCTCTGTTTCTCAGCCAGAGGAGAGCCCCTGCAAGATGGAGGAAGGTGACATTACCCTGGGGGGACTTAAGTGGCACATGTCACCACTTACTTCCTCACTCAAGGAAAAGTCTGGGGAGCAGGAGCAAGATCTGTTGTCCCTTTGTAACCCCACAGGGACTTGCACAAATAGAGTTGGTGATTAATAACTGTTGGAGGCTGAACAGACTTTTCTGTGACCCCTTATTAGCAGTGCCAGGATGCGAAGATTGCTCATCAGCCATGGTGAGCACCACAAATTAGTCATGTTTGGAGGCAGCAGGTTTCTGATGGTTACATCAGAGATCTGGGCTCATTCCTAGAAACATCACTGGGCAATTTTCCTTTTTAAATCAGAATCGATGGTGAACTTATCTACTGGATCAGTTAAAATGTCCTGGTCTGAGAGTCAGACAAGGCCTGAGTTTAGAGGCTTGTGAAGCCACATGACCTTAGATAAGTGGCCAAACCACCTAAAGGTACACTTTTCTCATCAGTTAAGTTGGTTGATACTAACGTTACTGCCCTCATAGGCTTGTTTTGTGAGTCAGATGAGCTAATACCTGCAAAGTGCTGGGCTCACAACAAATGCTTGATAAATGTTGGCTATTATTATCATTATTAGGGTAACCATATGTTTTCTAAATCAAGATACTTTGACAGTTAAGGAGGGCAGAAAAATTAGAATGTTAACTTTTCTAAAAGATTTATTTCTTGACCAGTAAATTGGTTTATATTAGTGGACCTATAAAATAGTTCTATTCAAAAACTATTTTCAAAGATAAAATACTTTCAAAGAAAAAATAGCAGGAAGTCCTAGCCAGAGTAATCAGGCAAGAGAAAGGAAAAAAAGGCATCCAAATAGGAAAAGAAGAAGATAAATTATCTTTCTTCACTGACAATATGATCCTATATCTAGAAAACCCTAAAGACTCCACCAAAAGGCTCCTAGACCTGATAAATGATTTCAATAACGTTTCAGGATACAACGATGTACAAAAATCAGCTGCACTTTCTATACACAAATAATGTTCAAGCTGAGAGCCAAATCAAGAACACAGTCCCACAAAAAAGATAAAATACCTAGAAATACATCTAACCAAGGAAATGAAAGATCTCTACAAGGAGAACTACAAAACACTGCTGAAAGAAATCAGAGATGACACAAACAAATGTCTAAATATTCCATTCTCCCTCTCCCTCTCCCTCTCCCTCTCCCTCTCCCTCTCCCTTTTTTTTTTCTTTTTCTTTTTTTTTTTTTTTCTTTTTTTTTTTTTTTTTTTTTTTTTTTCTTTTTCTTTTCTTTTTTTTTTTTTTTTTTTTTTTTTTTTCTTCTTTTTCTTTTTTTTTTTTTTTTTTTTTCTTTTTTTTTTTTTCTTCTTTTTTTTTTTTTTTTTTTTTCTTTTCTTTTTTTTTTTTTTTTTTTTTCTTTTTTTTTTTTTTTTTTTTTTTTTTTTCTTTTTTTTTTTTCTTTTTTTTTTTTTTTTTTTTTCTCTTCTTTTTTTTTTTTTTTTTTTTTTTCTTTTTTTTTTTCTTCTTTCTTTTTCTCTCTTTTTTTTTTCTTTTTTCTTTTTTCTTTTTTTTTTTTTTTTTTCTTTTTTTTTTCTTCTTTTTTTTTTTTTCTTTTTTTTTTTTTTTTTTTTTTTCC